>NC_000010.11:53324913-53476428 GCF_000001405.40 Homo sapiens | reverse complement strand
TGACTTAGTCATATAACACTAAATTTATAAAACCAATTTGGAGAGAATATGATTTTACTTTGTTTTGATACGTATTGAATTGGCAGACATTTGGCAGCATTTGACAGTCAGAAATATTCTATGCACCCAGTGTAGTGCTTTTTTTTAAAAGTAGGTAGGCCCATGTGAAAAAACCAAGAGATTTTACATGAAACATTGATTTTTGCTTCTCTGGCAACATATTCCTTATAATCAAATATGGAAATATCTGAGCAAGGGTTTCCTGATTCAAATGGTACAGACATTCATGCTCTTTGATTTATTTTGATGCAATTTTTATTACTCAGAAAGCACACAAATATGTATATATTGTAGCCATTTTTCTCATTATTATGTACCTCAACTTTGTAGATATTTAGCTTGTGGCTCCTGCAATATAACTAGGCACACACACACACACACTCACACAGACACATATATACATACATCATTACTGGTGGAATCAAGCTACATGTATTATGTACACAGCATGTATATAATCTATACATATATATACACATAAAGATTTATATGTGTATTTCTGATGGTGTACAGAGGCAAAAAATGAAAATAAAGCATCTGAAAGGAGAAGGGTGAGGGCTCTGGGACAAAAGAGGTTTTTATTTGCTATTTTTCTTTCCTGATCATTTTATGAGTCCTATCCTTCATTCATCAGGGACTAGCAAGCAGTATTAGGTTAGCTACTTGCAGAAAGCTGACACTGTTTCTTTCAAAAGGGTTTAGAGGGATTCTGTCAACACTAAGTTGTAATATCCTTTTCTGTTTGATCTTACGTTGACATTTCCTTCAAACTCTGTCCTTTAAGTTAACCAAAGTGTGCCTGTGTGAAATCAAATGTAAAGGATTTCTATAATATATTCACTACTTTACATACATGGTCATTTACAGCAGGGTGTTAAAGCAGCTTGGCAGCCATGTTATGGACTTTCACAGATGTATTTGCATTAAAACACATTGTTAAAAACTGATAGCCACTTTTATTAGTATCAAAAGTACCCCAAAAAGAGAACATATAAATTTGACAAATATCCCTTAACTGAAAAAGATAAATGCACAGTATTTGTACATTTTTCAATCTTGAGGATTAATATATATGAAAAAAATAGATGACACATTTTACGAGAAAATGAAGTGGGAGCTAGTCAATAAATGCCTCAGAGTCTGCAATGTGTCAGCTTTACTAATAAGAATGTCGTGATCTGTTCAATAAAGGGCAAAATATCTCCCCCCAAAATTGATTTAATTTATAGGGTAGTGTGTTTCCAAAGGGAAAATCTTTTCATTTACAAATCAAAGTACTGAATCTAACAGCTGTTTTATAGTTCACAATTTATATAAACACTTTTATTTAAAATCTCCATTTTATTCAGTCTTCACAATCTTCACGTATCTGTAAGGCTAAATTAAGGGCAACATGAAATTTTCAAGTAGACTGTATTTTAGTTTGCAAATCAGCATCTTTTCTTTCTATAGGAGATGCCTACTGGGCGTTCTGAATACTCAGAACACTGGTTGCTGAATCTGTGGCACCTTTGAAACTTTTGAAAAATAAATTCACCTCTCTGGGTTTCAGTTTCTTCAACTATAAAATGAAACATTTGAAGAAACAGTCTGTAAATTTTTTCCCCACTATAATTCTGTGATTTAATTCTTCTAAGGTAGCTATCTGAATGATCTAATGGAATCTGTTTAGATCATGAAAAATAGGAGAATAGAAATCTTCAATATTCCACTGCTTTTTTCTTCTAACCCTGATACCCATGCCACCTTTGAAGCTAGAGTTTAATCAGAGTAAAACATGAATATGGCAGATATATTTGGTTGTTGTTGCTTCTGTAACTAACACTGATTTAGTAGCTTAAATGAACACAAGTTTACCTTACAGTTTAGGAGATTCAAATTTCAAATCAGCCTCACTGGGATAAAGTCAAAATGTCAACTGCACTGGTTCCTTTAGGAGACCAAGGGGACAATTCATTTTATTTCCTTGTTGAGCTTCTAGAGGCCACCTGTATTCCTTGGATTATGGTAATTTCCTTGCATCACTCCAACCTCTTGCTGCCATTGTCATATCTTCCACTGCTAGTTTTTATCCTCATGCCACCCTTTCATTAGAAGCCTTATCATTACACGTTGGGCCCACCTGGATAATCCAGGCATCCAGGATTGTCTCACACCTCAAAATCCTTAAATTAATCATGTCTGTAAAGTTCCTTTTCCTATATAAAATAACACAGTAACTGATTCCAGGGATTAGGACATGAACATTATTGGGCAACCACTATTAAGCCTACTACAGCAGGTAATAAAACAGGTAATTAAAGTGTTCAAAGTCTTAAAACTCCATTAAGAGAAAGACACAATCTTCTGGCTCCTTGTATACATTGTCATTGTTTTATTGGGATTTCCAGAAAATTGAAGGATGATTCTAAAAGGGCCTGTCACTCTCTTTTATGATCAGATTAAAAGTAAATACAGCCTATCAAGATAAGGAAATTAACATATGCTTTTTCTCAAGCCACCCCTCTCCCACAAGAACAAGCACTGCTCTGATGTTTATCTGGCATTCGTTTTGCCTGTTATAGAACATTATGTAAATCATACATTATTTGTACGACTTATTCATCCAGCATATTTTTAAAATCATGTTGTATGTATCAGTTCTTTGTACATTTTTACTGATAAATAATATTCCATTAACTAAATATGCTACACCACATTTAACCATTCTACTGATGGATACCATATCCATTTTAAGTTTTGTACTGTTATGAATAAAGCAATGAGCATTCATATAAATGTCTCTTACAAATCTATAAAAGGACAAGATAGGTATAACTATAGGTTATGGTTAGTTATAAAGAAACTAAGGTATAAAATTTTACCCTCATATCAACAATGCATAAGAGTTTTGAGTTATTTCCCATCATCGATAACCTTTAGCAATATTTGGTATTGCCAGTCTATTTATTCTATTGGTTGTGTTTCGGTACCTCATACTGGTTTTAATTGCTTTTTTCTTATGACTAGTGAGGCCGAGCCTGTTTTTATGTGTTTATTATTTAATTCACATATTTTTATTTGTGAAGTATATTAAAATACTTTGACTATTTTTGGAGTGTTTATCTTATCATGGTATGGTTTTAAATATCTCCTGTATATTACTCTCTATCCTCTGCATAACTTCTACATACTAGTCTCTATCAGATATCTGTTGTGTAAATATTTTATCCCTGTCTATAGCATCCGCATTCATTTTGGTAATCATGCCTGCTCATAGCAGAATTTGTTACTTTGGCGATATCGAATTTATCGGTCTCTTATATAATTATGGGTTTCTAAGATATTTTAAGAACTTTTGTCCACTACCAAGTCACAGCAATACTTTTTTTCTCCTTATTTTTCCTAAAGGCTTAAGGAGTTTAGCTTTTATGTTTAGGTTTAGGTTTATGACTAACTTGCAATTTATTTTGCATGTGGTAAAATATAAAGTTCATTTTTTCCATATGGTTATCTAGGTACATGAAAGGTTGATAGCTGAAGGCAGAATAGGAATATTGAGAAAGTTCTTTGGCAACACATGCCCCAACTTAGTCAAAAGATAATACTATACAAAATTGAAGCTAGTGATGATGAACCACTGAAAATAATCACCCAACTCTACTCTTGCTGAGAGTGACTCGACCTTTACAATAATTCATTGCAGATTCATTGCAGAAGGAGAGGCATGCCCATTTCTGGGGAAAACATTTACCTGTGTCTCTACTCTTCTAGTCTCCTACCTCATCATGCCTATGATGACTGGCATTCAACAAAATTTTAAGAGATTTACAAAACAAGCAAGTAAAAATAGCCAACTATTAAGAGAATGGCAAATAACCAAGACATTTACAAAACTGAATTATTTTATAATCATCAGACTAGGAGCAAATGTAAAAACAAGCAACTTAAAAAAAAAACAATGAATTTGAATATACCAAAATAAAAATTAAAAATTAAAATACAAAGAGATAAAAAGGCAAAAACATTCTATCTATCTCACATTATTATGGGTATAAGAGACAAATAGATACATTTATTGTCTAAAAGTAAAAAAAAATAATAAAAGAGCATCAAGGGTTGTGGAGCAGTATCAAACAGTCTAAAATATATGCAATTAGAATCCCAGAAGGTTAAGAGAGAATGAGATGTGTAGAAAAATATTTGAAAAAATAATGACTGAGAATTTTTCAAAATCAGTAAGACATTTATATAAAGAAACAAAAACTTAGACACATTATATTTAAACTGCTGATAGACAAAGATAAAGAGAAATCATGGGCCGGGCGCGGTGGCTCAAGCCTGTAATCCTAGCACTTTGGGAGGCCGAGGCGGATGGATCATGAGGTCAGGAGATCGAGACCATCCTGGCTAACACAGTGAAACCCCATCTCTACTAAAAAATACAAAAAAACTTAGCCAGGTGTGGTGGCGGGCGCCTGTAGTCCCAGCTACTCGGGAGGCTGAAGCAGGAGAATGGCGTGAACCCGGGAGGCAGAGCTTGCAGTGAGCCGAGATCACGCCACTGCACTCCAGCCGGGGGGACAGAGCAAGACTCCGTCTCAAAAAAAAAAAAAAAAAAAAAAAAAGAGAAATCATGAAAGCATCCGGAGAAAAGAGCTATTTTATATATAGAAGAACAAATATAATAATTATAGCAGACTTCATCTCAGATGCTATGCAAGCCAGAATACAGTAGGCTTACATCTTTAAAGGGCCAAAAGATGAAAACAAAACAAAATAAAGCAAAGCAGTTAACCTAGAGTTTATACCTAGCAAAAATAACTTTCAACAGTAAAGATAAAATCAAAACTTTTTTTGGCAGTAATTTGGTAGTGGAGAGATTTCACTACCAGCTCACTTGCACCAAGAAATATCTAAA
The DNA here is from genome assembly GCF_000001405.40 of Homo sapiens. Taxonomy (NCBI): domain Eukaryota; kingdom Metazoa; phylum Chordata; class Mammalia; order Primates; family Hominidae; genus Homo; species Homo sapiens. Next base: position 53,471,468 of record NC_000010.11, on the reverse strand, counting down.
TTTCTTCAGACAGAAGAGACATGATAAAAAAAAAAAATAGAAACTTGGATTATAAAAAGAAATGAAGACCTATAAAGTTGTTTAAAATAAACATAAATTAAAAATACATATTTTTATCATTTTAAATTACTGTGAAAGAGGTTGGGGTAGACAAACATTTTATAGAAAGGGCAGATAGTAAATATTTCCGACTGAGTTTTTGTTGCAACTACTCAACTCTATCATTGCAGCACAAATTAGCCACAGAAACATGTAAATTAAAGACTGTGGCTGCATTTTAACAAATATTTTTCTTACTAAAACAGGAAACCAACCAGATTTGGCTCATAGGCCATAGTTTGCAAACATCTACACTAAAAGAGAATTGACTCTCTACAGAAAAAAAAATACTAGCAATTACTGAGGATGTATAATATATATAAATTTTAAATATACACCAACAAAAGCTCAAAAGATGGAATGGAAAAATTGGAAGTATAATGTAAGATTATTTAATTATACTGGAAGTATTATATTTGAAAGTAGAATATCATTAAATACGTATTTGGAAATCTTAGAATAAAAATCAGAATACTTTAAAATGGTAGACATAGCATTTTGATAGTTACAATAAAGGAAAATAAAACATTCTCAATGCAAAGCAGGCAATAAAATAGGAAAAGGAAATAAAGATATGGTACAAATAGAAAACAACTAGGATGATGACAAATTTAAATCTCAATACAACAATAATTATATTAAATATAAATGGTTTACCACACCAATTAAAACAAGAAAATATCAGATTAGATCTAAGGCAAGACCTAATTATAAACTATCTAAAGAAACCTGAATTTAATATAAATATATATATAGGGAAAAACAAAAATGATAAAAGATATACCATGAAAACACTAAACAAATGAAAAAAGGGGATAGCTATATTAATATCAAAGTTTGTTGTAGAATAAGTATTATAAGAAATAGAAATATCATATTATAATAATGTCAATTAATCAAAAATACAAATGTGAAAATTAAAAAAAAATGTGGTGACCTTGGATAGGGCAAAGATTTATTGAATACAACATTAACAGAATGATGTATTTAAAAAAAGAGAGATAATGGTGAAAACTACTAAGTGATTATTGCAGGTTTGTAGAGTACAAGGTTAATATACAAAAGTCAATCACTCTCTTACATACCAGCAATGAAAATCTGGAACTTGAAACTGAACTGCAATACCATTTACATTAGCAGCAACAAAGAAATGAAACATTGAGGCATAAATCTAACAAAGTATACATAAGATGTATGTAAGAAAAATTATGAAACTCTAGTAAAAAATCAAATAATAAATAAATGAAGAGATACTCTACACACACGGATAGGAAGACTCAATATTGTCAAAACTAAATACAGTCACTTTATTGGTTAGATTTTTTTCTCATAAAAATCTGTAGGCAAGTCATGATTTATTTTTATTAAACTGTGTCTCACCTTGTTATGTCCACGCTGTTTTGCAATTCAATGTTAGTTTTAAGCTACTGCAATATATCCATAAATAAATAATCTTAAGTTACTTTTAAATGGCCTAATAATTAGCCAATCATTTAAATGTTTTCTTCCAGATAGATCATCCCTAGTTAAGTGATTTTTCTCTCTCTTGCTCTCTCTCTCTCTCTGTGTGTGTGTGTGTGTGTGTGTGTGTGTGTGAGACAAGACACTTTCATCTACTGAGCTTATTTCTTTACTAAGAATGCAGGTTGATATTTATTTAAATTAATTATAAGGGAAGAAATTTATTATTTATAACTTTACTAGTGGGACTTCACCCTCAGGTTACTGCTTATCTTCTCGCACTGTACTTTTTTCAAAATCAATTAAACACACATGCAGACACCTGCAGAGTAAACAGACACCTGCACAGATCCAAGTAGCAAATCCATTTTCAGTTTGTTGTCAGTAGAAAATCCAAATGTCTTTTGGCTTGTGCTGTTTAGTCCGCCTTGTCATAGTTGGTATTAAGTAATGATCAATAAAGTAAAATTCTGTTTTAGTTAGTAAAGTATACAATAAAATATTTTTACTATATCTTAAATCATTAAAAATAGGTTTTATCCTGGTCCTCATTGCATTCCAATTACAATTAGGGAATAAGGAAAAGAGGGGATAAATTATCTTTAATTATCCCTCCGTAACAATTCTAAATTGTCTCTGGTAAAATAATACGGGAGTATTTTAAGTTTGAAAGAACTCTCCTATATCTTTATGGAAAGTGCAAAACTATTTTATTGAAACATTAGGACTTATTTCTGTTTTCTTTTACTTCTCAATCACGAAGTCAGAATAAAATGAAAACTAGGAGTATATAACTATATACCTTCAAGTTTCATTTTGCCTTTTTAAGTATAATGGGAGGTAAGGCTGGGCGCGGTGGCTCACGCCTGTAATCCCAGCACTTTGGGAGGCCAAGATGGGTGGATCATGAGGTCAGGAGATCGAGACCATCCTGGCTAACAAGGTGAAACCCCGTCTCTACTAAAAATACAAAAAATTAGCCGGGCGCGGTGGCGGGCGCCTGTAGTCCCAGCTACTCGGGAGGCTGAGGCAGGAGAATGGCGTGAACCCGGGAAGCGGAGCTTGCAGTGAGCCGAGATTGCGCCACTGCAGTCCGCAGTCCGGCCTGGGCGACAGAGCGAGACTCCGTCTCAAAAAAAAAAAAAAAAAAAAAATTGGCAGGTTTCTTATCTTTTTCTTACTTTCACTCCTTTGTTACAAAAAATACTGTTTAGTCTCCTCAGAATGATTTTTTTTTTTTTTTTTTTTTTACTTAAGATACCTAGGTCATTTAAGAAGATGGTCTTGCGTCTAAAAGAAGATTCTACTTTTGTAGAACAAAACAAGGTATCACGTTGGACAAATTTTCTTTTCTTTTGTTTTTAAGGCACGTCTTGCTCTGTCACTCAGGCTGGAGTACTGTGGTACAATCAGGGCTCACTACAACCTCAACCACCCGGTATCAAGCAAATTCTCTCTCCTCAGTCTCTCAAGTAGCTGGGACCAAAAGCATATGCCACCATGCCCAGTTATTCTTTTTTATTATTATTTGTAGAGATGGGGTCTCCCTGTGTTGCCCAGGCTGGTCTTGAACTCTTGGGTTCAAGCGAGCCTCCTGCCTCCGACTCTGAAAGTGTTGAGATTACAGACGTGAGCCACCGTGCCTGGCCCAGACAAATTTGTTTAACTCCCTGCGTTTTAGGTTTCTTGTTAAATAGTTGGACATATTAGTACCTACGTTAAAATATTGATAATTAAAGAAAAGAACAAAATAAAAGACCTTATTAAGGACCTAGCCATAGTTAGACTTCAGTAAGTATTAGGAAAACGAAGAAGGAAAATAAAAGGTCCGCAAGTGAATAGTGAAGAAAAGTCTCACTTTCTGTAGGTTTTTAGAACATTAGTGAAGGAGTTTCCTTAGAGACCTATTCTAGCCTACAGCTTGAAATTTAGTGTTATCTCCAATATTTATGTTTTTTACTGTAACACTTGGTATGCTTTTTGGTCTTCTGTTTGAATCTGATATTGTGAAAAAACAAGTTAAAAAGACTCAGTCCTCACCTCATAAGACTTCACAATGGGGGTAGAAGGTGATATATGCCAGCGAAGTTTATGCTGCCATATAATAGTGGTCCAACTTGGAATTCTGGTTAGTTAATATGGATTTCCTTGTTTTGCTCAATTTCCAGTACAATAGTCATATTTTTCTTTTTTCATATTTTTCACTCTTGCTTTGATCTTCTGATTACTTTGACTTTATTTCTGAAGACTCTTCAACTTCTTATATTACTTGTTTTGCTTTTATATGTAAGAAGAACAAATGTTTACACATAAATAGTGAATTTGAGTTTCCTCTAATCCTCTTTTCCCATACTCTTCTGGAAGAGATACTATATTTTTCTCTAATCATTGATAAAAAAATGTCTAAATCAACAGGAAATCTTTAAGTGCTGTTTTTTCTCCTTTCCATTAAGGGAAACTTTTCATTCCTTTTCTGATGTAACTTTGCATTTGGCTATAATGGTGTGGGATTATCATTGCTTTCCCATTTCCACTATAAGAACACTGTGGTTTTTACTTAATTAAATTTGGTTTTCAAATAACTATTGTTATTTGAAAACAGTGGTTCTAATGGTATACAAGAGTCAATTTGCAGTGTGCCACAAATAATGCATTAGTAATAGAAGTATCAAATGTGAAAGCGTGCAAACAAATCTCAATATCTATCAAAGTTATTCTCTTTCATTTTCATTGTGTATACCTTCTTGAGTAGATGAAAACAAGTTGGTACTGAAGCCTATATGTGAGGAACAATTAGGAAGTTCAGTTGTAATGTGGGGGTAAATTTTAAAATGCTATTGGTGTGCACTGCATAGGTGGTTGCTATCCATCATGTTATGTGTGTTTAATGGTAAAATTATTTACTGCTCTAAAATGCCTGTTTCTTCATGGAAACATGGATTTAATTTAAAAAAAGAAAAAATAATAAAATGAAATGCTTGTTTCTGACACATAATTAAAAAAATTACATATTTAATTATGTTTGGAGAGCTAATTTTTTTTAAGGTTTCTTGCCTGGGTTCATTGTTCCATCTGTGTGGGTTAGAGAACACGTTTAAAGTTGCAAATGGTTCTGAAGTCTCCCTTGTGTGTGTGTGTGTGTGTGTGTGTGTGTTGTTGTTGGTGGTGGTGGTGGTGGTTTTATTTTATTTGTTACCAGGCCTCTCTCTTATCTCCCACATTTGTGTGTAGTTTCATTTCACCCAGAGATGTATAGAAAACTTACATCAGACCAATGGGCTCTCACTTCTGGTGATTCTGATTACATTTCTTTTTTCACTGTTCCTCTTGTATGATTACCATGTTGAACTAACAAACCTGAAAATTTTTATTGTCCATTTCCAAATAAGTTGGTCACTTTTAGCTATTCAAACATTGATTCTCACCTCCCTCACAGAACTCCTTGCCAGCAAAATCACTATTTTTTACTCCAGATCTACCCTGGTATGACTAGAATTTTTGCTAACTTAGAAGGAGATATAGGAATAAATGCAAATAGTCCCAGGCAAGCAGTCCACAGATTCACTTCATCCTTAAGTAATGCTTCTGCAATTTTCAAGAATTACATATCAGTTTGTTTTCTGCCTTTGGTTAATTTTCAGAGTTCCAAAGTATTTTATTTTTGACATTTTTCTCCAATTTTATTCTCAATTTTAATAGAAGAGAATCAGTGCCTCATGCCATAATTACTAGCATTTCTCTATAGATGGCCTAATTTTAATATGAAAGTAAATATGATCTTGATTTATAAAATATTAGGAAAAGAAAATTAAGGAAATTAGAAAAGTAAATGTGATAGACACATTGCAATATACAAATAGATATCTATAGAACCTGAAGTTAACTAGATGTTTTCTTTAAAGAAAAAAAAAAACTTTTATTTTAAGTTCAGGGGTACAAGTGCAGGTTTGTTACATAGGTAAATATGTGTCATGGGAGTCTGTTATACAGATTATTCCATCACCCAGGTATTAGTAGTCTAGTACCTATTAAGCCTAGTACCTATTAGTTATTTTTCCTGTTCCTCCCCTTCCTCCTAACATCCAAGCTCTAATAGGCCCTAGTGAATGTTGATCCTTTCTATGTGCCAATGTATCCTCATCATTTAGCTCCCACTTGTAAGTGAGAACATGTGGTATTTGATTTTCTGTTTCTGCATTAGTTTGCTAAGAATAATGGCCTCCGGCTCCATCCATGTTCCTGCAAAGGACATGATCTCAATCTTTTTTATGGTTGCATAGTATTCCATAGTTGTATTTGTACCACATTTTCATTAACCACTTTATCATTGATGGGTTGATTCCATGTCTGCTGTTGTGAATAGTGCTGCAATGAATATATGCATGTGTGTATCTTTATAATAGGATGATTTATATTCTTTTGGGTATATACCCAGTAATGGGATTACTGTGTCTAATTGTTTTTCAAACTAATTTATTTTAAAAATAAAATATAATATGATACAGAGCAGGTTATACATTTTGGTCCGTGGATATGCTCTATCTTCAAAGATGTTCTCATTTGGGGAGATGTCTTGGAACAATCTGACTCTAGACAAAGACAAAGCACACTTGAAAAAGTCTACTTAACACCCAACATCCATTCAGAATCTTTTTTATTTTCCCCAAACCCATAAAAGCCAAGCAGCTGGTGGCATATATTCTCCTTGAGGATCTACTAGAAAGTAGATGGGAGGTAGGATAAGTGCAAATCACCCCAGAAATGTCTCCTTCGATTATTTGAACAGAAAAAAATAATACGTGATAAAGAGGAACAATTTGCTTGACAGTGTATTTTCACACCTTTGGAGGAAATTTGCATTGTCTTGATTCCATAGCAATATTTGACTCTCATATCAAATGAGTAGTATGATTCTGAAGATGCTGTAGAGTAACTCCCCCTAGGATCTGTGTAACATTTAAACCTGACAAAACATTCAATGTTTTATTTGTGGCAGAGGTGTACCAGAGCAGCCACAAAGATTGTGAAAAAGTATAATATCTTTAGTTTCTCCCAATAAAAGGAAAAAAAAGTGTGTCAATTTACATTAGTTTTGTTCCTATCAGTGAACATACTGCTGCCAGTTATTGCAAATACATATTCACCAGACATATACAAGCAAACACATAAACTCAAAAACTCAGAATGCCAAAGCATTAATATAATGATAGTAAGTAAATATTTTAATTAATTTCAAATTAATAAATCTTAAACATATATTTAAATATTGTAGTCAAATTTCTACAGGGATTCAAATTATAATTAGAAGTTTGACTGATAAAAGTGAAATAAGAGACAGGCAGTCTGATTATATGGTGTTAATGACTCATCTCGGCAAAACATGGACATCTATTATTTACATTCCGTGATTATCTAAATACATACTTCATGATTATGTTCATGGAATCTCCCATTGGAAGTGTTAAAGATAAAATATTCTGCTGCAGTCTACAAGTTTGAAAAACTCTGATTTGGTGAATGTTATTTTCAGCAGGCAAACTGTCTTCCTTAATCTGTCCCATGGTTCATGGCATGGAGAAGCCATGCTAGATAAACTACATACTTCCACAAATGAATTTCAAATACTTCATTTCTCAGGATCAACAAACAGTTACTTAGTGGATAGGGGAGGGAGGGTTCATTCTTCCAAATATGAGTTCTAAAAGAAAATATTAATATATCTTCAAAGTGAATATAAACTTTCAGATTTCCAAAATAAACATGAAGTTTTATCTCCTCTCTCTTTAACCTTTATATTTTTCTATAGTGCCTGAAAGCTAGGTAGAGGCCAAGGGAAATCTTTCGCTTTGCCCTCTGAAGTTTCACTGACAAATCAACTCACAAAAAACAGATTCACAGGAGAAATGGCATAAACATTGATTAGCACGCATAGGGAAGAAATACCGTGCACAGATAGATGATCCAACCTGCAATAGGCTACAGATAGTTACGTGATCTTATTCTTAGGGGAAATGAGAATGGAGAAATGAGGATGATTTTAGAAGTGTTCTTTAGGGGAATTATGGGCTTGAAGAATACACAATGGCCTGGGACACAGTCTGTTGGGCTTGCAGAGCAGACAATGGTTTGTGACAAAAGTCTGCCCAGGTGTGTTGACAGACCTATTGTCTTTCTCCCTATGATATGAGTTTAGTTAACGAAAACTCAGGGAAGGGATCAGAGATGATTGTTTCCTTCTTTGGCGTGTCCGGACATTAGGCAAATAAATGAACTTCAGAGAAAAACTTCTTCCTGTGCTTAGGGAGGGACTGAGAACTAAGAGACAAGAGGTGGGAGTTGGTGGGGAGGAGGGTAGATGGTGAGAGAGAACTTGAGACTTCTTCAGTTCAGCATGTCAAAGTGCGATATTTTGGGGTATCTGTTTCTGAGCCCCAACAGCTATATAATTCAAACTTGTACTGTAGAATACATTATTTCTTCATTTAGAAAATAACTAACAATTCAATTCTAGCTTTTTAAATTAAAGTTTGTTTTAGTGGCAGAGTCATGTCTCATGATGGCTGTTAGAGTTTGTCAAGTGCTTTTCCAATGCCAATTAATATAATCATATTTTTTTCTTCTTTAGCTTGTTGATAGAGTAGATCACATTTGTTGATTTTCAAATGTTGATCCAAACTTCGACCCCTGGATATACTAATTTGTGATGTATAATTATTTTTCCATACTGCTGGATTTGATTTGCTAATATTTGTTTAACGTATTTTTGTGTCTAGATCCATGAGAGATATTGGTCTTTAAATTTTTGTGTTTTGTAATGTCTTTGTCTGGTACATCAGAGAACACTCTCAGTGTCAAGGTAATACTGGCCTCATAAAGCGAATAAGGAAACACATTCCTTCCTCTTTTATTTTCTAGGCGAGAGTATTCAAAATTGTCTTTGGTTGTATGTGTTCGTGGAATTCTCCAGTGACAGTACTTTAACCTAGAGATTTCTTTTTAAAGAAATTTAAATAGCAAATTAAATATCTAATGTTTTGGGGACTTTTTAGATAATTTATGCTATCTTGGTTGAGTTTTGGTAGTTCGTAATTTTTATGGGATGTGCCTATTTCTTTTAAATTATCAAATTTATTACCACAAAAATGTCATTATTCCTGACCAGGCATGGTGGCTTACGCCTCTCATCTCAGCACTTTGGGAGGTCGAAATGGGTGGATTGCTTGGGGCCAGGAGTTCGAGACCACCCTGGCCAACATGACAAAACCCCGTCTCTATTAAAAACACAAAAATTAGCCGAGTGTGGTTGTTCATGCCTGTAATCCCGGCTTCTTGGGAGGATGAGACATGAGAATTGCCTGAACCCGGGAGGCAGAGGTTGCAGTGAGCCAAGATTGCGCCACTGCACTCCAGCCTGGGTTACAAAGCAAGACTCTGTCTCAAAAAAAAAAAGAGAGAGAGAGGGAAAGAAAAGTCATTATTCTTTTATCCTTTTAATGACCGAAGAAGGAATTATTTTTAAATGATGTGCTATGTATAGATGGAATGGAATGTTCCACCAAAGCAATGGCAAACAATTCCATTATGGCAAAATCAACAACAAGACCACATACTTTCTAAACTTGATATTGTCAGAAATATGTATGGGAAGATAAGTCACTTGTGTTTAAGAGGTCTCTGCTTATAAATCTGAATGAAATGTAAAATACAAATTTATTTTTTACTAAAATAGACATATAGTGCTACAGATAATTTAAATTTTTATGATATTTAGCATAGAAATAAAGAGTAAAGTTCTGTGGTGGAAGTATTCTGTTAATTTAAAAGTACTTTCACACATGTAAAAATATATATAAAGTATATACCATTCTGCATGTCCTAGAGGATAACAAGGTTATCTTGATACATGCATCGCTCTTTTCTACTCTACTTACCACCATAAAATAGTCACTATGTATCTTTTGGCATATGTCAGGCAATTTTATAAAATATAGCCTTATTCTATTCCTAAGTTGCTTTCACAGATTTGAGTTAGACTTTTGTTATAATTTAGCTCTCTAAATGCATATTTTTTTCTCACAGCCATCCATTATAAAACACGAAAACCAAAACACTCTCAGTGGTTAGAAATAGAGAGGAATTATCTCAATTTGATCAAGAGTATCTACAAAAAAACCCTACAGCTAGCATTACAGTTAATGATGAAAGACTGAATAATTTCCCCTAAAACTGAGAAAAAGCAAGGATACCCATTCTCACCACTCTTATTCAACATAGTGCTGGAAGTTCTAGCCAGTACAACCAAGTAAATGAAAGAAATAAAAGTCATGCAGAGAGATTAGAAAGGGGAAACAAAACACTCTTATTTCCATATGATATGCTGGCCTTCATAGAAAATCATAAGGAATCTACAAAACAACAAAAACAACAACAAAAGGAAACAAAGCAAAAAACTTCTAGAGTTAATAAGTAAATTTAGCAAGGTTGTAGCATTAAAGATTCTCAACACAAAAATTAATCACATATCTATACATTAAAAACAAATGTGTAGAAATGATATTAAAATCACAATGCTATTTGGAGTTACTCTAAAAGAATGATAAATATTTATGTCTAAAATATTATGTATAGGATCTGTATGTTGACAATACTAATGAAAGAAACAAAAAAGGCCTAAATAAATGGATAGACATATGTTCTTGAATTGGAAGATTCAACATAATAAAGATGTTAATATTTCCCAAATAATCTATAGGTTTAATGTAATTTCTATCAAAGTCCAAGGAAGTTTGTTGCATTACAAAAACAAGATTATTCTAAAAATGTATATAGAAAGACAAAAATCATAATAGCTTAAAACAATTTTGAAAAAGAGTAGAGTGAGAAATATAACTTTTCAATATTTAACTTACTGTATATCTATGTAATCAATAGGAGGAAAGATAGTCTTTTCAACAAAAAATACTGGAGTAATTTGGCATCTGTAGGTTAAAAAAATAAAGTGGTACCTAATCCTCACACTTTATACAAAAATTAACTCAAAATGGATCTGATATTTATATTTAAAATGTAAAACTATTAAAAATGAAATTTTAAAGAAAAATAAGAGCAATTTGTCAAATCTAGGACTAGGTGAATAATTTGCAGACTTGCCATTAAATATGCAATCCATAAAAGAAAATATTGATAAGCTGGACTTCATCAACATTATTATTTTTTCCTCCATGAACCACTTCAAAATATGAGAAAATATTTTCAAACTACTTATTTTGCATAAGATTTGTGTCCATAATATATATGGATCTCAAAATGTAACAGAAAAAAATATCAAAAAGTAAAATGCATAAAAGACATGAACAGGTATTATATCAAAAAGAATATTCAAGAGGAAAACCAGCATATAAAAAGATGTCCAACATCACTATGGAAATCAATATTAAAACAAATGTCTGCAATCAGGTGTTTATCCTGAATATCAGAATTGTTAAAATAAAAAATAATGAGAACAGGAAATGCCACAGTAAGGATGTGGGCAAACTGATCCCTCATAAGTTGCTGGTGGAATGTAAAATAATACTCTACAAAACAATTTGACAGTTTTTTAAAGAAAAACTTAACATGCAACTACCATACAACCAAGCAATGGTACTCTTACACATTTATCCCAGAAGAATGAAAACTCATTTCACACAAAAATCTGTACACAAATTTTAATAGCAGCTTCATTTGTAATAGCCAAAACTTGAAAGCAACTCACATGTCTGGCAGTGAGTGAGTGGTTAAACTGTGGTAGATCCAAATCATTGGACACTAATCAGCAATCAAAATGAATTAATTATAGGTACACAAAACCACTTGGATGCTGGGCGCAGTGGCTCACACCTGTAATACCAGCATTTTTGGAGGCTGAGGTGGGAGGATCACTTGAGGTCAGGAGATCGAGACGAGCCCAGCCAACATGGTGAAACTCCATCTCTACTAATAATACAAAGAAATTAGATGGGCGTGGTCATGGGTGCCCGTAGTCCCAGCTAATTGGGAGGCTGAGGCATGAGAATCACTTGAACCCGGGAGGCAGAGGTTGCAGTGAGCAGAGATCATGCCACTGCACTCCAGCCTGGGTGACAGAGTGAAACTGTGTCAAAAAACAAACAACGACAAGAAAAGCAACTTGGATGAATTGCAAGAGAATTGTGTTAAATTTTAAAAAGCAAGTATCAAAAGGTTATATACTTTAAATACTGTACATATGACTTCATTTATATAAAATTTTTGAGATAACACGTTAGAAATTTGGAGAACAGATTAGTGATAGCCAGGGTTTAAGGAAGGTATTGGGTTTTATGTTAAGCAAAAAAGAGGTAGCACAGACAGCGGGGATGTGATAGTTACATGCACACACATGTAATAAAACTACATAGGTATGTAAAAACACACACAGACAAATGCATATATGTAAAATTGGTGAAATCTAAAAAAGCTCGATGTTCATTTACTGGTTTTGATATTGCACTAAGTTATGAAAGATGTTACCACTAGGGGAAACTGAAGGAAGGTTAGATGGGACCTCTCTATAAAATATTTTTTTCAGCATCCTATGAATTTATATTTACTTCAAAATAAAAAGTAAACAAAACTAATAAATAAAAATATACTATGACATAAAATAGCATGAAATGGAGCAAGTTTAATATGGTACATTTTTATTAAATATGTATTATGACATGTAAAAATAATATCAAAGACTGAAATGTAAAACCTATAACTAGAAACCTTCTACAAGAAAATATAGAAAGACATCTTTGTGGCTTTGGTTCAAAGGAAAGGCAAAATCATTGCAAAATGATAAATTTTGATAAATTGACATTCATCAAAATTTTTAAAATTCTCCTCATCAAATGATACTGTTAAGAAAGGGAAAGTAAAAAGACAAAAACTGAGATTAACCATTTTCTTTTTCTTTTTCTTTTCTTTTTTTTTTTTGAGACAGAGTCTCTCTCTGTCACCCAGGCTGGGTGCACGATCTCGGCTCACTGCAAGCTCCGCCTCCCGGGTTCACACCATTCTCCTGCCTCAGCGTCCCGAGTAGCTGGGACTTACAGGTGCCTGCCACCACGCCCGGCTAATTTTTTTGTATTTTTAGTAGAGACGAGGTTTCACCGTGTTAACCTGGATGGTCTTGATCTCCTGACCTCGTGATCTGCCCATCTCGGCCTCCCAAAGTGCTGGGATTACAGGCGTGAGCCACCGCGACCGGCTTGAGATTAACCATTTTCAAAACACCTATATAGTTAAGAATTTAATATGCACATAACAAATATAGAGAGTAAGCAATGAAAAATAAATAATATGTGAAATGAAAAATGTGTAAAAAGGTGCTTCACCAAAGAAGAGAAACAGATGACATGAAAATATCTTTAAAATATTTAGTCATTAATGAAATGCAAATTAAAATTACTTTTAGATACCAGGCATAGCTATTAGAATGGCAAAACTGAAACAAACAAAAATAACAAACAACAAAAATTTAGCTAACAATGCCAAAAATTAGAGGATGTGGAGCACCTGGAACTTTCTTATGTTGCTGATGATAGTGCAGGATGTGAACACCATTTTAGAAATTGGCTGGTTAGTTCCTCCCATTCAAGTACTAACCAGGCCCTGCCCTGCTTAGCTTCCAAGATCCGTGAGATTACATGCATTCAGGATAGCATGCCTGTGGGCTGTTGAGGAGTTTCTTATTAAAATACTGACCATGCAATCTATTACTCTCACTCCCAGCTATTTACTCAAGCAAAATTAAACTGTATTTGCACAAAACCTGTGTTAGAAAAAGACCCAATGTTCATCAAATTGTGGAGGTACACAAGTGTTTTATTCCTAAATGCAACACTACTCAGCAAAAAAAATAATAACAAACAACAAACAAATAAATGGCACTACTGAAACAATTGACAAAATTGATATTTTTCGAATGAATTATGCTAACAGAAAGAAGCCAAAGATAGGAGGATTTATACTGAATGGTTCCATTTATATGATATTCTGAGGAAAAAGGCAAGATTCAAGAGATAGAACAGTAATTGCCAGGAATTGAGGGCAGTCAGAAGGAATTGAGTAACAGAGGCCTTAAGCAACTCTTAGGAGTAATGGAAATATTCTATATCTTGATTTGTGGTGGTGGTCACAGATGTAAATGTTTGTTGATACTCAGAATGAATCTAAAAAGGTTTGTTTTCACTGTATGTAAATTATACTTCAAATCCTAGGAGAAATGGCAGTGATGTATGGTTGTCACACATTTTTCAGTGACAAGAACATACATATCTATAAAAAATATACATTGCCATATTATATGGTATATACTACATACATGTGTATCCAATATAATATGTCAGCAATTTTCTAATAGACCTGGCTGGAGGTGAGAAAGGTGCCTTTTGAAGAGATATGTTTGGGATCTCATTGTGATTTCAGTTTGTATCCTTGCCAGCAGAAAAGATGCTGTTTCATCTGAAGAGATGAGGGACGATAGTAAAACAGATTATTCTTATTAATGTGACTTATTTTTCAAAAAACTCTTAAGTTACTAAAGGCTGGGGGAGCTAAGGTTACATACACATCAGAAGGACATTGACTTAATATTGGTTTAAAATTATGGAAAAAAATATATTTTTCCTGTATTAAACTTTCATATTCTCCTGTATGTAATACATCTACCTACAAAAAAGTCTCCAAACAACTGAGTGTCAACTCCTGCTTTCATAATTACCAAAGAAAGCAAGAGTGAGAAAACAGGTTATATAGAAAATCCTGCACTGCGTCCTGCAAATGGTTTCCCTTACAAGATTTAAAATGGCCTTGAAAACATTCCATGGCCTAGTCATGGCTCAGCACACATTTTCAGGCAGATGCATTTCTGTAGTCACAAAAAATTTCAGCCTGAGCTATTGCAGCTCGGCAAATAAGCATTACTGAGGAAATGTCAGTGTTTGTCAGGGTAGTGATGAATTGAAGGGAACTGGATTATTTCAAACTCTAAAAGCTAGCCAAGGCTGGGCACGGTGGCTCACGCCTGTAATCCCAGCACTTTGGGAGGCCAAGGCGGGCGAATCACCTGAGGTCAGGAGTTCAAGATCAGCCTGGCCAACATAATGAAACCTCGTCTCTATAAAAATACAAAAATTAGCTGGGCATGATGACGGGTGCCTGTAATCTCAGCTACTCGAGAGGCTGGGGCGGAAGAATAGCTTGAACCTAGGATCCTGCCATTGCACTGCAGCTTGGGTGACAGAGCAAGACTCTTGTCTCAAAAAAAAAAAAAAAAGCTAGCTAATACAGGATAATACTTGATTCTTTTAAAAAATCTTTCAAATATTCTCCCTGCAAAGTCTCCCCTACAGTTGAAGGACTCCTTCTGAATATTTCAAATATTACTCCTTAATTTAAAACCCCACAATCAAAGACTTCTTTCAGATATGTTTTCATCAAGGCACTTAATATACCATGATGTGGTTAATCATACCTAATTCCTTGCCATAATAATTATTTATTATTGTGTTGTTAATATATTTATCTTTTGAGATTTTATTGACCATTAGGTAACAATTGACTAACATTTTTTCATATGTGCTCCATTTCAAATCTCATAATTTATCTTAATATTAAGCTTCTAATCTAAACATTTCTACTCTTCCAGCAAAAATATAAATTGATTCTAAGAGAAAAATATAGAAGAGACATAGTTCTCAGTATTTTTGACCTGACTGAATTAAAAATATTTTTAAAACAAACCACACCAAGGATCTTGTTACATTTTTTATAAAAGGTATTACTTATATACATGTGTTACATTTTCATATAAGTAATACACTACTTATGTACATTTTTTATTCCAAAGAGACCTGAATAAGGTTGGAATTATATTCACACAATCATTGGACTATAACTATAAAGTCAATTTCTCTCCAATTATATGTCATTATCTTTTCTGTAAGGGGATGTTCTTTCAAGGTGGGAAGAGGCAGATGTTGGAGAGATTGCTGAGTCAATTATTTGAACACACTCAAGCATCATGGCACAATAGGAAATGTACATCACAGCAAGACTTCTTTGAATTGAAAAGTTATATTGCCTTAATCATTAAGCTAAAAGTACAGACACATCTTCCCAAAAAAGAAAAGGGAAACTAATTGGACAGGTGTCCCTGATTCCTGGCCCACAGTCTGATTTATATGTGGATAAAGTTAATTGCCATTTTCACAGAAAAACTTTGAGAAATATTGAAATTTTCTTGGTCCATAAGGTCACCTTCAAGTCTGTCTCAAAGCCTAAGACACAACCAAAATACTACACTGAGTATTTTTCTCTGTCCTTGACTTTGTTCTTTGATTTGCCCTCAAGGTCACATACAACTATTTACTTTTTAGAAATCACACATTATGTTAGGTTATACTTTAATTGCCTTTAAATGTTTGTTGAGGATGGAGGATATTGAGTACCTCAGGATGCACAGAATGCTCATGTACAGGATGCTCATGGAAGGATGTACAGGATGCTCATGGAAGATGCCTGAAAAAATGTGGAGTAGAGTTCAACATTGTTGACTTCAGGCAAGCTCCACAATGGCTATTTTAAAGTGGTTCATGATTTCCTTCCTGGGGAAAATTAGAAACTGCAAAATTATTTACTATTATATATAATAACAGATGCTCAGTTAGCTTGGATGATACTCTAATCATACAGTGCCAGCATCTGAAACATTTTAAGTATAAAGGCGTTCACTATGGATAGACACTGTTAATTACCTCTAATTGAATAATTCACTAATTTAACAAATGCTTACCAAACACTCTGCTCTAGTTATTATACTATTACTATACAATGTAGCAAATATACATAAAGGTATGTACTATCTCTAATAAAAATTACTATAAAAACAAGCCCTTCAGATTCTGCTGGTAACAGCTTTCTTATAAGGTTCGGACATGAATTCCTGAGGCCACAGATACCATGCTGTTCTTATCAGTATGTACTGATTATGGACCCAAACATGCAATACACGGGCACTATCTATCCAAGGAAATTACCTCAGTTAACTGAAAGCTGCAGGAAGCTCGCCCCAATTACACATCAGATTTTCCCAGATATTTCAGAATCCCAGAGATAGACAAATATTTATGTTAAATTTCTAATGGTTCCTCAAGTGTGTGTCTGTTTACAAATTGTACATTTCTTTGTATAAGTAAATATTTTACCAGAAATTTTTCTAAGATAGAGTTTTCACAGATGTAAACAAATAAATAAAAATAAACAATTTTTAAAAGATAATAAAACATTGTCAACTCTGAAGAGAAACAAGAAAAAGCATTTTTTAAAAAATTCCAAAATATGCTTTGTGGGAGCAGATTTCCCTTCCAGGCATAGTTTGTTTAGGTATTTGAAAGAAACGAGTGTACCCAGAGGAATTACCATATGTTGTAGTAACTATCATCCAAGCTACTGATGTTAATATGAACATGTGTTTTGATTGTTAGTAATAGCACAATAAAGTTATTATAAAAAAAGTAAATAGATTGTATTTGCATGGCTAATAGACATTTCTCCAGAAACTATGAACAGTATTTCAATGACTACAATATTTTAGAATAAGAATCCCATAAAAATCCCGTAGTTTGTATCACACTGAAGATATTGTCCATACAAATAAGAAAAGTCATAATATTCTTTTAATAACCTGCTGTGAATTATGGTTTGTAATTAATTTAATGAAGGTTCAGTTTAATAATGTTATTTGGAAAGAGAGCATTGGAAGGAAAGCTCAGACCTAGACATTGAACTACTACAATCTATTCATTAGAATGGAAGAGATATAAATAAGATAAAAGAGAAAAATTAAGAAGATTTTAATTAATGTACATGCTTGTCCATGCTTTTTATTAATAAAGAGGAAACCCCATGCCTTTTATTAATAAAATATTTTATAAAATTGAATTTTGTGGAGAGGAAAAAGTTGACTAATGCCCTTTTCTGTATCACAAAGACAGAACTGGTCAGTTGATCACTTATTGTATTTGAGATCACCCCGTGCTTCAGATAGGCACATACTCTGTGGTTCAATAATTGTTCCAGTTGCTGTCAATAATGAAAATATCTTCCCTAATTAAAATGAGCCAAATTGCCTAAAAGATAAGCCGACTTGTCATATTAAGATGCTCATTTTCATTAAAAGCATGCTTTTTTAAAAAAGTAAAAATACATTTTATAATAACACAACTACATACTTTATTCATCTTTGTTTTTCTCTTATGGCAACTTCTCTTGCAGTTATCTTGTTTATTTAAGGTTAGAATTGATAAACAAATATGAAATTGCTAATATTTTTGATTGAAAAGTTTTCAGTATGTTAAGGGCAGGCTCTCAATATGTAATGGTAGAGTTTCTGTCCTATACGCTGTTTTCTTGTCCTTTCACTCTGCCCTGCCTCAGCATAGATAAGAAATGCAGAACAGTGACCCCTATCTATAGGCCTAGGGTTAATCAGCTAAAACATGCAAGTGTCTCCTCTAGTTAAGACAGGAAACAAAATTCTCCTTTCTATGATCAGTGTAAGCTTCTGTGTCAAGGTTTCATCACTCCTGATGTTTTATATTTCTTTTTTTGAAAGGGTTTAAGAATGTGTGTGTGTAGTTCATCAGAGAGAGAAAGAGAAAGAGAGAGAGAGAGAAGGTGGCAGACTCACAGCTAAAGTTTGACAAGGCAAATAATTTGGTCTTCTAGGATGTGCTTGTATTCCATCTTCTCCTTACTGCTTCATTTTGATGACTGGTCATAGCATCTTACTAGGTCAATCCAAACTACCACCAACCTTTGTCTAGTTAATACTTCTGAGATACCAAGATGAGCCTTTAAAATGAGGTTTTAGTTCAGATGTGAACAGGGCTAGGGGAAAATTTTCTTTCCTTATGAAAAAAGATCAGGCTTCAATGATGTGCCCTGTAAAACAATGGGTTTTCACCAAATGTACATACTTTCCATCTTTTAACATAATCATTTTCTCCCTGATTCCTATGTGACATGATTTTGAGCATCTTATTAGGTAGATGAGAACTCTCCAAAGTCATTCCAGCTTGCTCCAGCCTACTAAAAAAAGGAGGATTTTGATTGCCCTTGCACTTAACACTTAAGTTCTTTTAATATAGGCTCACTTTGTATAATCTTTATTGATTTGATAAAGAAGCAGCGATGGCTGATTGTTTTGATTGGCTGCTTTATGCCAGTAGCTTTATACATTTTAATAGGTTATTTCTTCTTGTGAGATAGCTATATCTACTGTGCAAATGAGGAAACAGGAACTCAGATCCTGTGAAATAGCTCTGTCGTTTTGATCTGAATTAATCTTTGTTGATGCAAGAGCCCATACTCTCACAGTGTTGAAGTGTGAAACATATAAAACCTCTATATTTTCATGGAGGTGCCTACTAAGCCATGTCACATTATTTTACGTTTTATAGTCATTTATCTGGATACAAATAAAGAACTTCATGCTTATTTTGGTTACATCGTTCTATATTCAATCTTGATATACTCTGTTCATAAATCAACTGTGTTAAGAGTACTCTCCTGATTTATTAATTAATATTATATTGAGCCCTATGGGTAATCTGAAATTTTGTGCCATTAAATTCTTCACATAAGTCATTAACAAGATCTGTTCTCCTAGGAATAGATCATACAATGGGCAGTAGGGAAAATTCTCCTGTTCTGTTTATGTTCTGGACCGTTTGAGACAAATCTTGCTAAAACTAGTGCCTTCAGAAGGCATGAGCAGGGAAATAAAGATGGAGAACGTGGAGGAGATTGCAGGCCTCACGCACATCACAGAGCCTTCTCCAAACTCTCCCTTTACGGTCACACTTTAGGAGTAAGAAATGGTCTTGATCACAAAATTTCAAGTATTCAACCATAACTTCCCCAGGAATATCTCTTCTTATCACAATCTCAGTCTCCCTAAGAGAGGTGCTGTAAATTTAAAGTCTAAAAAATTTCTAGACTTCTGGCTAAAGAAGTAACAACCACTCCAAAACATAAACAGCAACAGCAGCAACAACTATTTCTATCTTCTTGTAATGTGATACATTGTACTTGGTAAGAGCATAGGCTTTTGAATCTGATGGCTTTCATTTAACATTCTCATTCTGACACTTAGCAGTCGTGCAATCTGATAAAAATTGACCTAATTTCTAAGTGCCAAAGTGTTCAATAAATAGCTATTGTGCATATCAGTGGTGATAGTACTAGAAGTAGCAGAACATCTGTGTTATTTTTTTTACCACTAATCAGCACACACAAATTGACCCTGGTTTCACTTTGGGACTCACACCTGGTATCTCAGATTGTATATTATACTTGTTGATTCTGCCATAAGATTCTTAAGTTCTGTTTCTCTCAGCATAAGTTCCTTCTTCACTTTGAAAGAGAACGTAAAAGGGATAGATAGTAGGAGGGATACAAGAAGGAGGAGGAGAAGAAAAAGGAGGAAGAGATAGAGAAGGAAGAACAGTTAACATCTGGCTTTATTATCCAGTGAATAATGACTACCAGACAAAGCAGTCAGCCTATTTCTGCCCAGTTGCTATTTTTATTTGCTTAATATGCTTAATTTTGGGGTTTTTACAATGTATATAAGGGTACTTATTTCTCTTCGTTAATATTCTTGACACTAATTTCATAACTCCATACCTCTTTGAATGTTATTTCTAGCTACTTGAATGCCATTCCACATTTTGTACATCTTCTTATTTATCTCTGAGCTCATTAGAAAGATTTCTGTTCGGCTTTATTGCTTTCTGGGACTTATCATAGTACTATACCAAGGGCAATGAGGAGAGGTTTGCTATTCTTAATGAATAATTAAGTTAGAAAATATATCCACCCTTTTTACCAAAAATATGCGTTCATCTGCCATTCATCTGTCCTTTCTAAAAGAAGTCAACTAAAAATACTTCCCAATACCTTGTTCCCCTATCTAGAATATGACAGACATTCAAATTAATTTCTCCTTTCAGAGTGTTAATGGTTTGTGAAATTGAACTCAGTCAGATAGTCTTGCTAGCCATATAAAGTTTTCTTTATCATTCTCTTTGCGAATGATAGACAGGCTTTCCTCTGTTTAAAAGATATGTGATATGTACTTCATAAGGATCAGAGGGCTGCATAAAGTCAGAAAAATAAAACTCAAGTTGGACTTTTATCACTTAATTGAAAGAACTTAGATTAGCACATTGAACCAAATGAAGAAAATAATCAAGGAAGATCTAAATCATGATAACTGTAAAGAATGCACTATCTTTGTAATAATACTGAAAATCAGCAAAAACAGAAGCTGGCATTCTAATTAGATATACCTTCTTATAGTGAAGAAAATAAAAATGTTTCAGATAGTTCTTATTTATTATTTAATATCAATATGAATTGGGAAGTTGTATGTAAAATTATTTTCATTTATTGAATAAAGCACCAGGAAATGCTTTTAGGAGGAAAAAACTAAACATCACCCTACAACATCCACATTAAATTGGACTGTGCTGGAAGGAAGTTTCTTAGTTTGCACAGCATCATGCAAATCAAATGAATACACAGCAAAGGAGCTGAGATTTGCAAATTTTCACACTAATAACTGGAAGATTGAGAAGCTGAAATATGGTTTTGTCTGAATTAATAATTTATATAAAAACCATATTGCTATTCATAAAATATCTCACAATCTACCAGCTAAAGAAAATCTTTTTATGAATGGGAAGCATCTCTCAAATAAATACTTCTCCCTAGTTATAAATAATACAGTTAGATGACTCTATCCTTAAGAATGCAAGACTCAACTAAATATAATTTTTCTGGAAACAGCTTTAACCCAATCTGTCAAGCTTGAGGAGGGAAGCAGCCTGTCACTGTTTCTCTTTCATCAGGACAGTTATATCTAACTCAATTCAGGTGAAAAATAATGGAAATACAGTAATTATATGATATCATTTAGTTATTTGTCCCTGCCTCAATATCACGTTGAATTGTAATCTCCAGTGCTGGAGGTTGGGTCTGGTGGGAGGTGTTTGGATCATGCGGGCAGATCCCATGATAGTTCTCATGAGAAATTGTTACTTAAAAGTGTGTGGCACCTTTTTGCCCACTCTCTCTCTAGTTGCTGGTTTCACTACATGACATGCCTGCTTCCCCTTCACCTTCTGCCATAATTGTGAGCTTCCTGAGGCCTCCCAAGAAGCAGAGCAGATGCCAGCATCATGCTTCCTGTAAAGGATGCAGAACCATGAGCCAATTAAACCTTTTTTCTTCATAGATCACCTAGTCTCAGGTGTTTCTTTATAGCAATACAAGAGGAGCATAACATACTACAGAAAATTGAGAACGGCATTGCTATAAAGATACCTGAATATGTGAAAGCAGCTTTGGAACTGGATAATGAGCAGAGGTTGGAAGAATTTTGAGGGCTCAGAAGAAGACAGGAAGATGAGGGAAAATTTGGAACTTCTTAGAGACTGGTTAAATGGTTGTGACTGAAATGCTGATAGTGATATGGACAGTGACGTCCACGGTGACAAGGTCACAAATATAAATGACAAACTTATTGGGAATTGGAGCAAAGGTCACGCATCTTATGCCTTTGCAAAGAACTTGGCTGTGTGCTATTCAGATCCCCCTAGGGATCTGCTAAAGTTTGAATGAAATAGTGATAATGTAAGGTATCTGGTGGAGGAAATTCCTAAGCTGTGAAGCAGTCAAGATATTGATACAGGAGATAGAAAGAAATTATTTAGGCAGATAGTAAGGGCAACAGAGTCCTTGGCAGAATCTCCCTTGTAGCAAAAAGCAGCCCCTAAAATCATTTCTTTTCTAACAAAGAGCAGCCTGAAAAATTGAGCTGCAAATATAGATAAGCAAGCTGGAAGCTTGCACAGGTGAATCAGAGCATCTGTGCTAATAGAAAAGAGCAAACTGGAAGCCAGGTATGTTCAACATGGAGGCTCCATCTTCCCTTTTCTTTGTCACCACGTGTACAGTAAAGAAGCAGGCAACATGGTGCTGGCCAGATAGAGAACCCATATGCATAATAAAAAATTAGGGCGGGGGCAGCTAGATTTTTACACACTATACAAATGGCACACCTAGTCCTAACCAGCTTTTCATGCCTTATGCAAGTGGCATACCTGGTCCCACCAATCTTTTGTGCCCTATGTAAATCAGACACTGCCTCTTCAAGCTCATCTATAAAATCTCCTGCACTTCACCATAGACTGGAAGACCCGCTTGGGACCCCTCTCCCTGCAGGAGAGAGCTTTTCTCTTTCTTTCACCTATTAAACCTCCACTCTTAACCTCACTCCTTGTGTGTCCACATGCTTGATTTCCTTGGCATGAGACAATAAACCTTGAGTATTTACCACAGACAATGACACTGCTTCAATATGACCTGAACACTTTTAACAACCTAATTCAAAGCAGGAGCAAAGGAATGACTTAAAGTAGGAATTTATATTTAGAAGGAAAGCAGAGAATAAAAATTTGGAAAATTTACAGCCTGTCCATGTGTCAGAGAAACAAAAAGTTTTTCAGTGAGGAATTCAAGTAGACTGTGGAGAAACCAGGTACTACGGATATACGCATATCTAAAAGGGAGCCAACTGCTAACATCCAAGACAATGGGAAAAAGGACTTGAAGGCATTTTAGAGAACTTTGTAGCAGCCCCTCCCATCACAGGCCCAGAAGCCTAAGAGGAAGAATGGTTTTGTGGGCCTGCCTAGGGCCCTGCTATTCTCTGCAGTGTTGGGACACTTCTCCCCACATCCGGGCTGTTCTAGCTCCAACCTCAGCTCAGATGACAACAGGTACAACCCAGTCCACTGCTTCAGAGGGCGAAAGCCATAAGTCTTGCCTGCTTCCATGTGGTGTTAAGCCAGTAGGTGCACAGAGTACAAGACTGAATGAGGCTTGGCACCCTCCACCTAGATTTCAGAAGATGTATGGAAAAGCCTGGATGCCCAGGCAGAAGCATGCTGCAGGGGTGGAGCCCCCACAGTGAACCCCTACTAGGCAGTGCCAAGGAGAAATGTGGGGTTGGAGTTTCCTCACAGAGTCTCTGCTGGGGCACTGCCTAGTAGAGCTGTCAGAAGGGGGCCACTGCCTCCAGATCCGAGAATAGTGGATCCACTGGTGGCTTGCACCCTTTGCCTGAAAAAGCCACAGGCACTCAGCAACCATGACAGCAGCCCTGGGAGATGAGCCCTGCAAAGTGAAAGGCTCAGGGGTGCCCAAGTCCTTGGGAGCCCACCCCTTGCACCAGTGTGCCCCAGATGTGGGGCATGGAGTCAAAAGAGATTATTTTGTAGCTTTAAGATTTCATGGCTGCCCTGAAACGTTTTGAACTTGCATGGGAACTGTAGCCCCTTTCTTTTGGCTGATTTCTCCATTTTGGAAAAGGAATGTGTATCCAATCCCTATGCCCCATTGTATCTTGGAAGTAATTAACTTGTTTTTGATTTAACAGGCTCATAGGTGGAAGAGATTTGCCTTGTCTCCAATAAGAATTTGGACTTTTGAGTTAATGCTGGAATAAGTTAAAACTTTGGAGGACTGTTGGGAAAGCATGCCTGTATTTTGCAATGTGAGAAGGGCATCAGATTTGGGAGGTGCTGGGGGAAAATGATATATTAATAGTTTGGGTGTGTGTTCCCACCCAACTCTCATGTTGAATTGTAATCCTCAGTGCTGGAGGTGGGGCCTGGTGGGAGGTGTTTGGGCATGGATTCCTCAAGGCTTGGTACTGTCTTCGTGATAGTGTGTGGCACCTCTCCATTCCTTGCTCTTGATTTTACCATGTGATGTTCCTTCTGCCCCCAACTTTTGCAAGCTTCCTGAGACCTTCCCAGAAGCTGAGCACATGCCAGCACCATGCTTCCTGTAAAGCCTACAGAATCATGAGCCAATTAAGCCTGATTTCTTTACAGATTACCCAGTCTCAGGTATTGCTTTATGGCAATACAAGAATGGCCTAATACATTATGTCACCTGAATTACTTTTAGTATTGTATTGGTTCTGTCTAGCCCTGAATCTATTTCAGTTTGGACAAACTTGAAGGAATAAAAAAATAACAATAATATGAAAATAATTCCCTTGATGATAGGAAAGTATGAAATCATTGTTAGGGCTCTTCTTTGCCTCCTTCATTCAGTCCAGCCTGTACATTCAACAGGACACATAGGGTTCTGAGTGGAGCCTCGATACTATTGAATGAATATTTGTATCTTCCCAAATTAATATGTTAAATTCTAACACCCAGTGTCATGGCATTTAGAAGTGGGGATTTCAGAAAGTGATTAGGTTATGAAGGCAGGGGACACATGAATAAGATTAGTGACCTTATGAAAAGGGTTCCAGAGAGCTCCCTTGCTCCCTTCCACCATGTGAGCACTCAGTGTGCACATGGCCCTCTGTGCACTAGGAAGTGGGCCCTCATTAGACACTGAATCTACCTGCACCTTGATCTTGGACTTGCCAGCATCCAGAACTGTGAGAAACACATTTCTGTTGTTTATAAATTGCCCAGTCTATGCATTCTGTTATAACAGAATACAGCCAGCAGAGCTTGCCAGACACTTTAAGAGTTCATAAGTGTAAAGTCCATGACTATAGATGATCCTGCTGTAAATGCTAGCAGGAAATTAATAATAGCACTGCCTGAGATCTGCAAACTTCTAGGTATCATTCAGCAGGAGTGCATAAAATGAGAAGACTTAAATATGAGGCTGCTGGCTATTTTCTAAATCATGTGAGCACCTTTTTGTCACTGCTATCATCTTTCTGAATTATTTAAATCATAGGAAAATTACAGAAATTAACTTGTATCTTCAGATTTCCATTGGCTCATGTGTTATCATTAAAGACATTGATGGGTTATGGTTAAGGACGTAAAAGGAGAGGAATGGCAAGTAACCATGAAAGATATTTGCCATGATTAGAGAGCTTATTCCCTTTAGTGAAATGGCTACAACCAAGAGTTATTTAAATTTTCTTATTGCTCAGACTGAGGCACTTACTTCTACTTGGTAGTCACACACACACACACACACACACACACACACACACACACACAAATACACACACAGCCCTGTAATTCTTTATCCAGGAAACGTTTGGTGAGCACCTTATGTATCTCAGGCACATTCCTAGGTTCTATTGTGGGAAATAAGTGAGTAAGGCAAGATCATTGTTCTTTGGATGTCAGTTATGTTATCTGTTACTTTACTCCAGATTAAATAACTTAAACAATCAGGGATCATCATCTTAATGATACATTTTATAATAGTTTTTCTTTATGTACTTATTTTAAATGCATAGGGGACCCTTTTCAGCTTCATGTAAGCCACCTATTCTAAAATATATTTTGCCTGTGAATTTAATTACTAATAGCTTACATAAAAATATACCTGTTAATAAGAATAGAAATTACTATTCATTTAATATTTACTGTGTTTAAATTCTGTGTACATGCATTATTCATTCATTTAACAAACATTACGTGTTTAATGATAAGATCAGTCATTCCTTTAACTATGGGAGAATTGTGATCACACTGAGGTAAAGATTTTTATCCTGAGTCTTAAGAGTAGAGATGCTGGGCTGGGCACGGTGGCTCACGCCTGTAATCCCAGCACTTTCGGAGGCCGAAGCGGGCGGATCACGAGGTCAGGAGATCGAGACCATCCTGGCTAACACGGTGAAACCCCGTCTCCACTAAAAATACAAAAAATTAGCCGGGTGTGGTGGGGGCACCTGCAGTTCCAGCTACTCGGGAGGCTGAGGCAGGAGAATGTCGTGAACCCGGAAGGCGGAGCTTACAGTGAGCCGAGATCGTGCACTGCACTCCAGCCTGGGCGACAGAGCGAGACTCTGTCTCAAAAAAAAAAAAAAAAAAAAAAAAAAAAAAGATTAGAGATGCCATCTTTAATACTTTCCCATATTCAGGCAGGGAGCAAATAATTATTTTCTCAGAACTTTGTGTGTGTGCGTATGTGTGTGTTTCTACCTCCATCTCTTTTATTTTTCTTTCACTTTCCCATCCCATCTTTCTTTCTTCTTTCCTGCCTTCTTACCTTGCCACCAGCTTCCCCTCTATCTTATCAAATAAACAAAATAAAAAGACAATTAAAATTAAAATTAATTATGATTTTCTTGCGTTTTTATATAATAATGAATAAAATTTAAATCACAAAGCATCCTGTGGGGAAAGAACATTTTTTAAAAATTCCAGTATAACATGTACATTTTTATAATGGTTTATCTTAGGCTATTTAAACACAGATCTAATCAGGATGCTTTGATTCCATTTTCTTGATTTTGAAAATATCTGTCCTTTTCCTCTCCCTGTTTTTCCCTCCTCCCTTTTACAAAAATCTCTTTCCTCATCTAACACTCTTCTTTTTCTGATCTCCTTCTCCTTCCCCTGCCAACTCATCTCCCCTTTCTCTATGCCATATTTCATTCCATCACCCTCATCTTGCTCCATCTCTTTGATTTAAAATATTACTTTGCAATTTTGTGAATAAGCAAAAAACCAATAACAAAATGTATGAAAACTTTTAAAAATTCATAGTATGTTCAGTGAAAATGTAAGATAATAATTAATAATAGCTGGAAATAACTTATGTGGTGAATTTCCTATGTTCTAATTACATATCATAAAATCTTTCTATCAAACTTCAGTTATGCAAAATTGCTTCAGGTATAAGTAAAGGCCAATAATGCACATAAAACATATGAATGTACATGAAACACACACATTAAACATGTATTATATCATAGTTTCTTAGGTCAGGAAATCAGAAATATCTTAGATGGATTTTTACAGTTTGGGGTCTCAAATGGGTTGTTGTCAAGATTTGAAATGGCTACAGACATCTGAAAAATTAATTGGGGCTGGAGGCTCACTCACATGTGTGCCTGTTGATGCTGGTTGAGATCAGGGGACCTCCTCTTCTCCACATCCCTTTATGGTGCTTGAGTATCTTCAGCACATCACAATTGGCTTCCCACAGAATGAACAATCCAAGAGGGTCTAACCTTTGTTTGATGTCAGTGTCATTAGTAATACCAAAAGGGTATTCAAATTGTCTGAAATCCTAACGAATAAATAATTTCTTCCTTAACTATGTGAGGAAGGATGGTGATGTAATGGAATAGGGGACCAGTGTGTGGGAATGGTTTTTATAATGGCAAAGTCTACGCCTTGTGGATGATTGTCTCTTCTTTACAAGAAGAGCATTCTGAATGTATATCATATTTATAACAATGAATATAATACCACATGAGAGAGCTCAGTTACATGAGGGCAAATAATTTATTCAAATGAGTAAACGCTGCAAATATGTTTTTATGGGCTGAATTGTTTCCCATCCAAATTCATGTTGAGGTTCAGACCCCAGTGCTTCCGACAGTGAATATGTTTGGTGATAAGGCCTTTAAGGAGGTAATTAACGTAAAATTGGTTTGCAAGGGAAGGCTCTAATCTACTATGACCAATATTCTTATAAGAGATTAGGACATAGTATGTATGCAAAAGGAAAGACGATGTGACGACACAGCAAGAAGACAACCGTCTTCTAACCAAGGAGAGAGGCCTCAGTAGCAGTTACTGTACTAAAAAATGGGGCAGGACTTTAACACAAGTCTGCAAGCTCTGAATGTCTTGCTCGTAATCATTATGTTGGCAGGTGCCCCTAAAAAACAAAAAGGAAAAAATTTCCACCACCTAACTGTGTGACAGGTTACTTAGCCTTCTTATGCCTAGTTTTCTTTTCTATAAAGTAATGTTAGTTATCAAGTTTACCGCAGAAAGTTGTGGTATGAATTAAGCGACATAATGTAAGTAAAGCCCTCTGGAACAGAGCTTGGCAAGTGTAAACTGTTCATTATATGTTAGGTATTGCTTCTATTACCATATCTACATCTTTTCATATTCTTTAGCAAAATCAGTCCTATTCAAACCATATAAATGATGGGAAAATGTACTTTCCTGTGAAACATTTCACAAATATACCTCACTTGGAATGCAGGCATTACTGAAACAAGTAAAAGATAAACTTGGCAAATTGAATCACAACTCTGCTCTATGCTCTGATAGCCATCAATCTGGAGACAATGCCCATCTTCCAGGTGACAAAGAATCTAACATGTACTAAGATTGTGAAAATAAAAAAGAAAAGAAATGGATGATCTAAAAATTATTTAGGAAGCAGAAATGACAGGATTCAATGATTATTGGGATTCCAGAGGCTGAGAGAGTGATCCATTACATTAGACAAGATGCAACCCAGTGTATAACTGAAAGGTTAATATTAAACGAAGTAGAAATTCACGTAGTGATATGGAAATCTCCATATTCCATAAAACACCTCTGATATTACCATAATATGTGTGTAAAAATATAGTAGCTTTTTAAATTATGAAGAACATTTAAGCAAAACCAAAATAATAGTTATGTTTTGGGCCATTTGGTTGAACACCTGCATATATTTCACTAACATTTTGGATTTTTTACGGTAATCTTTTTTTTAAATTTTTGGTACAGTGGTCTGAATTAAGATGTTTTATTCAACATTTGAAAACCCATTATATTTAATCATTTTTGGAGTAGAGAATTTTAATAATTTACTGCCCTTATTCATGTAAAAGCTATTCATCTTCACTGAGGAGACTCCCTCTCTACCTCATTCCTAATGCCTATGCATTATGCACAAAAGAACACTTTTAAATGATGCTGCACATCTGACCTGTGTTTCAGAACATTTACACATGCACAGTGCAGAGGTAAATCAAAGGTGCTTTCCTGTAAGCATTAAGAAAAGCTATAAAAAAAGAATGAGTCAATGCTGATAGAAATAGAGCCCTAACAAAAAGTTCCAAGTAAAATCTAGACAATAATTATATAACGGCATCACATGCTAGGCTATTCCAGTTACTTAAAAAACTTGACTGGCAAAGGATATTCATGAAATCTGTCCCAAGGGGTGAGGGCAAGGGTTTGGGGCGGGGGGGGGACACTGATGTCTGTGGTAGTATCTTTGATAATTGAGACAATTGTTAAAGAAAAGTGTCATGAGCTATAAAAACAAAACAAAACAAAAAGTTGGAAAAAGAGAAAAGTCCCATTCTCTGATAAAGTCAAATATGTCAGAAAAATGAGAGTTACAAATTGCTGACCACTCATTCCAGTACACTTGGAAAGATACTTGGACTTACTAAATATGTAGTTCATCTACTGACTGTCCAGCCCTGTGCTGCATCTCTTCAGACTCCTCTTTCTTTCTGAAAGTCTCTTGTGATTCCTGACAGTGATGTTAAGTGCTCTTGCCGTGGGTCCCACAGCACCATGTTATCTACACTTCCTCTGTTGTTATCCCATAAAAATACTGGTTATTAATATTATAGTTACCAGTTTCTGTCTTATTTTTACTTAAATGAAAGCTCCCTTAAGGCACAGAATGTCTTTTTTTTCACTGCTATATCCCCAGTACTTAACACACCATCTGATATTTATTGGTAATTTGATAAATATTTGTTAATTTGAAGCAAAGACAGATTTCTATCTACTCTGTAAGAAATTGTCATTCCTTCTCACTGGCAGTTTAAATTCCCTAAATTCTCTCTCACCCCTTCTAGCCCCTGTTCAGTGTTCACAGAAACTCACAGAGATTTGGTTCTCCTCTAGTTTCCTACAGTTAGTTACATAAACCATGATTACCAAATTTCTCAGAACAGACTCTGGTTCATGTAAATTAATTACTTATATAATCAGATGAGTTTCAGTCTGTCTGCTACAGTATCCTTCCAAAGTGGCTAAAGAGATTTCCACCAAATTTGGGATAGGCTACATGCTATGCACACACACAAACACACACACACTCACATGCGTGTCCGCACACACACAGATACACACACACCCCCCTCACTCTGAGAGACTATGGTCTTTGAGGAATTATTAACTCACCAAAACAATTTATATGAACTGAACTGTGTAATAGCTGTTTCATTCATGAACAATTCTTCGTAGTGCCCCAGAGCAGTAACACCAGGAATTCCTTATTCAACAAAGATTAGTAATTCTACTGAAGAACAAAGGGAAAGCCACTTTGTTTTCACTAATGAGGATAAATATATATGGTCAATAGTAAACTGTGCATTTCACATTGGATTATCCATGCCAGGGTCATAATGGTCTAGCACATTACCTGGCACACAGTGGATGATAATTTATTGAACCGTTACTGTGGACCAAGCAGTGTACTATTTAATTTATCTAATTAACCCTAAACCTTATGTTATTATCCCCTTGTACAGTTAAGAAAACCAACATTAAACAATGTTAAGCTACTTTCCCTATAAGATATAGCTACTAAGTAGTACAGCCAGAATTTGAATCCAGGTCTGTACTGCTCTATGACCTTTTGAAAACTCAAAAACAAATCTTTTGAGTTTTAATACATCTTTCACAAATCATAAATAATATAAAAGCCCATGTTTAAAATGTATGGACATTGTAACTAGATTTCTAAATGGTTAATTTAATAAATATTTGCTGCTTTTTATCATTATTTCTTTTAATGTGTCTTATTTCCCCAAGTACTTTGAAAGACATTTAAAGGTTTATCTTGTCTTGTGCCTCTTTAATTCATCCTGGTTTCTAAGAAAGAGACTTCTACCTATTATTCTCAAGTGGTATTTGTTGACTAATTGATATCCAGCTCAACTCTGCAAAACTTAAACATCTTTGTGAATATTCAAAGTTTTAGGAATTATGCTATGGTTTCATAATGAAATAATTAGTATTGGAGAACTGAATGTTTTGAGATTTATAGTGCAGGCATTTAATATGCAAATCTGCAGTCTTACATCTCTTTTCACTGCAGATAGATAAAACACTTGTAAAAAGCTGGTCCATTTTTCTAATTATAAGAAAAGATTAATTTTTATCTATTTTTTTCTGGAATAGTAGCTTAAAGTGCCTCACTGCTAAATTTTATTGTGACTGCATAATACCATTTAAAAAATCCTTTTGGGGACATTCTTATTTCTTAGTTCGGTAAAGAGTACAAATAATGTGTATGATAATAATTACAAAGGAAAAAACCACAATGGGGATAGATTAGGTGCCTCAACTCAAGACGCAGACATAATAAGCAGTAGATCCAGCTGTCAAACGCCAGCAATCAACTCCTGGATCCACACTCCTTAATACAACGCTACAGTCAACTCCTCCAAAGTGTCACAGATGAGGGAAGGCAGATGTTTGATCTTATGGAAACTTTATATACATGTTCTGAATGATTATCAAAACAATTTGTTTTAAGATTAACCTAAGACATGCACGTGGCTCCTTTTAAAAAACAAAAAGGACTTTTCACTTAATTAAACTGAGAGAAAGACAGACCCTCTCACATTGTTTTGTACTCAGAAAAGGAAAGAAAAGCGAAACAAAAGGCAGGTAGCCCGGCGCCTAGGAACCAGACCCAAAACCAGGCTTGGGCCTGCCTGACCTAAGCCTGGTAGTTAAAATTCCACCCCTGACGTAGCAACTGATGTTATCTATAGATTCCAGACATTGTATGGAAGGACATTGTGAAAACTCCCGTTCTGTTCTGTTTCACTCTGACCACCGGTGCTTGCAGCCCCTGTCACGTACCCCCTGGCTTGCTCAATTGATCATGACCCTCTCACGCGGACCCCCTTAGAGTTGTGAGCCCTTAAACAGAAGTTGGGCACCTGACAAGCTCAGATTTTAAGACGTTAGTCTGCCGATGCTTCCAGCTGATTAAAGCCACTTCCTTCACTATCTTGGTGTCTGTGGGGTTTTATCCACAGCTCATCCTGCTGCAAAATAAATCTATATATCCCAGGAAGGATGCTTGTTAACTGCATTTCTATTAAATTAACTA
The DNA here is from genome assembly GCF_000001405.40 of Homo sapiens. Taxonomy (NCBI): domain Eukaryota; kingdom Metazoa; phylum Chordata; class Mammalia; order Primates; family Hominidae; genus Homo; species Homo sapiens. The sequence goes on along the minus strand of NC_000010.11, from coordinate 53,438,909 downwards.
ATGGTTTTTCAACTTGAGGAGACAAATGTTCAATGGAAGTGAACAATCAATTCACAGAACTACAGATGATTAGTAATTATGAAAATATTAGAGGGGTGACTGTTGGGAGGTTGTTTTAAAACGCACATTAATTTGGAATTTTGTTAATATAAAAACATCTTAAATTAGATTTACAGGCCATAGATAAAAAGAGTTACAAACTAATGTAAATTTAGTTCTAAGATTTTGGTGCAATATAATCTAGAGAATTTGGTGAAAAGTGTTAAACCTGGGCATTACATGTGACCTAAAATGGACTGCCTACATCTTTGCGCGGGGGACTGTTAAATGAAAGTAAGTGGATCATTTTGTTTTGTTTTCAGTAGGGGAGACAAATATCATCTAGCCATTTTTTTTTTAAAAAAAGCTAGGATCAAAACAGACTTTTTAATACATTACCAATATTTAAAAATACTTTCTAATTTATCTCTCACAAAAGTTATATTTTCACTTTGTCATTGATCTGGCTTCTGTAGCATTAGAATTAAAACTCAGGGAAATAAGTTCATCTGCAAAGGTAACATTTTTTTTTTTTTTTGTCACAAATAAAGGCTAGAGCAAAGCAATTATTTAAGATTCCCAATGTGTTCAGAAAGGTTTTCTCTGAAATTGTGGGGACTTTTGAATGAGCTTGGAAAATCAATCCATGATGTCCCTCTGTGGGATAAATCATATTTAGCAACCAGATCATGAGAGAAAAGAAAGGAGAAAAATCATCCCACACACTCATAGGTGTGAGTCATTAATTTTTTTTTTTTTTTTTTTTTTTTTGAGATGGAGTCTTGCTCTGTCACCCAGGCTGGAGTGCAGTGGCACGATCTCGGCTCACTGCAACCTCTGCCTCCTAGGTTCAAGCTATTATCCTGCCTCAGCCTCCTGAGTATCTGGGATTACAGGCGCCTGCCACCACGTCTCGCTAATTTTTGTATTTTTAGTAGAGACCGGGTTTCACCATGTTGGCCAGGCTCGTCTCAAACTCCTGACCTCAGTGATCCCGCCCGCCTTGGCCTCCCAAAGTGCTGGGATTACAAGCGTGAACCACCGTGCCCAGCCCCGAGTCATTAGTGTTTTATTCATTTATAGAAAAAACACATTTCAAGTAAATCAAGGAAAACTTGATAGACATTAATCAACATAAGCATTTCTCTAGTTAAAGCCATTAAACGGGAAGTGTTTATTTCTCACTGATATTTCAATGTATGGAGATTAAAGCTACTTACGATTATGGGAGTCTTTTCTGAAAATCACGACTAAGATGAAAAATGAATGGATATAAATAAATAAGTATGGAGAATAAGTGTGCTTTTACTTCTGTTTAAAATATAAATTATGAACCAGATAATCCAAGTGCTTTTCTTTAACCATAATAGATTCTACTTCAAAGATTGTATAATGTGTTTTTTCTAAACAAATTTAATCCAAATTAGCATTGCCAGACATTTTCTTTCTTGTCTATTTTCTTTTTTAACTTAGAAAATTCTTTAGAATCTATTATTTTTAGTTGAAACTATCAAAAACTTACTAGAAAATAACATAAATAATTTATTTTCTGAAAAACCAGTCTGATAATTCTTCTGTCTTATAGAAGAATTCTTCTGTCTTACAGAAATGTAGGTATTAGTTCCTAGAAGAATCAGATTGGAAAACACCAGTACAATTTGAATAACTCAGAAAGACATATCTAAGAAGGAATAGTAAGGAATGGCATGCAGGTCATTGATAATAATTAAGGTGCCATTATCTGTGAAATAAACTGATAAAGCAATATTAGAGCATGAACTCCTGACTCCCACACTGCATTTGCTTTGCACAGATGGTGAGGTTAGTATGATTGCCAGGGATGAAACTAAGGTCAATTCACCAAGTAAATGAAAATGAATGATGCTTTGGCTCTATTTGTTATTGTTCTTATTCTCTCCTCAGCCAGGTGACTACAACAGACTGCGGTGTCACTGGCCAGGTCACTATGTGTCTATGGAATTTATCCTCTAAAAACACAATCTTTTTTTTTCTTTCTCCATTGTTTTATTTCAATAATTTAACTGCTAGCTACAACTCCATTATCCCCTAAGATCTTAAAGAAAAAAATCAATCAGCATTTCTCCTATAACTCTCCTTACCATGGCTTAAAGAATTCCAAAGACCTTCACATTTTTGCAAATTTCTATTTAACTTCCAATCTCTTAATTGCTTTAAGTGATAGACTCTTGCTTCAATATATACTGTTTTGATATTTACTATCTGGCATCTATATGAGGTTTAGCCCTTTCTATGATTTTATATCAAGTCATTTGTGTAACTGGCAGATAAGCAAAAAGGACATGTTCTCTAAAAGAATCAATTTCAAAACAGTAGGCATCACCTTTCTTAAAATCTCTTTTAGCTACAACACCATCACAGGGTTTCTCTGAGCTTCTGTTGCTTCCTATATCAGCCCCCTGCTTTATGAACTCTGTTTTCAGTCCCTCAAATTTATGAATGTAAGTATGTGTATTTATATCTCATTTGATTTTAACCATAAATATAACTGATTATTTGAATAGCATGTATATATAAGCAGAACAGGCTCTTTTATAGTGTGGCACCTAACAATTTTCTCAATCTTTGTGTTTATGTACAATGAAAATGTTATTTCTCCTTTTCTAAAGATTGCTGTCATTTACTGTAACTCTCTCTAAAGTAGATTTTCTCATACAATGCCTCAGAGCCCCATTCATAATGGCTGTATTTATGGAAGAAAGAAAGTAGGGGACTTTCCATGAACTTTTTAGTACTTCACACCAGCTCACTTGATATTTCTTTGGCCACAACTCATCACATGGTCTAACCAACAGCAAAAATGTGCCCCCGCACCCCCCAAAATAGACTTCGATGTGACAAGAAGGGAAAGAGAATTGGATATTGGGGAAGATTAGTGATACCTGCCAAAGTCTATAGCCCATCTTTTCTCTGCTGATTTATATTACCTTTTGTATGATATGCAAAACCTCATATATGTTTGGGTCTGAAACTGAGAATTTTTTGCTTTTACCTTTTGAGTTTTTTAAATATAATTTTGTATATTTATCTCTCCCCCAACAATATACTGGATTATTTGTAACAAGTTTTGATATTATAGTTTTATAGTAAGTTTTAATACTTGGCAGTGCATTACTCTTCCTTACAATTTTTTTCAGAATTATTTTGACTATTTTTGGGCATTCACTCAACCCTAAGAGGTTTTGAAAAATTGTTCCAGTTCTAGAAAAGTAAAAACTTGGTGACTATATTAACTTTGTTTTTATAGAATAAATTGATTATAATTGACAGCATTAGGGTATTGAATTATCTTTACACATGGTATAAATATATTTTGTTTTTTGTCTAGGATACACTTTATTATCCAAAAAAGATTTTATCAACTACATTTTTGCACATTTTTAGGAACACTGAAGAATTTATTGTGTTGTAACTGCTTTTGCTGATGAACAGATATGTCATTGATCGATAACTTTTTCTTATTTCTGGCACCATATAAACTTTTAGAAGACTAAACTTTCAGGGGTATCCAATCTTTTGGTTTCCCTAGCCACGCTGGAAGAAGAGTTGTCTTGGGCCACATATAAAATACACTTACACTAACGATAGCTGGTGAGCTAAAGAATAATAATTACAAAAAAAATCATAATGTTTTAAGAAAGTTTACGAATTTGTATTGGGCCGCATTCAAAACCATACTTGGCATCATGTGGCCCACAGGCCATGCGTTAGAGAGCTTGCTTTACCTGTTGTATATCTTTGATGTTTTTTCTAAGTAAAAAATGTAGCGCCTTTGAATAACAATACTTTTATCTCTTCCTCTGTGTTCTTTCATTATTTTCATTCAGTTTTTAGGGTTTATTGGAAAATACTAATAAGAGTGCCTTTGTTGGCTTCTCTATTTAAAATAAAATGTCTCTAAAGTTTCTTTGCTTAATATTTTAATATCCGTAGGTTTTTGAGGTAGATTATCAAGTTAAGGGATTTCTCAGTGTTCGTAGTTTGTTAGATTTTATTTAAATCATTTTAAAATTTTGAATTTTCCTAAATTATTTTCCTCTTTCTATAATCTATAGAATAAAAAGATGGCGATGTTTTCATTTCAGCACGACCTTCTAATAAAGATCTTAAATAAAATAAGGATAGAAAAAAAACACAATAGCTGGGTATAGTGTCATGTGCCTGTATGTAGTCCTAGTTACTCCAGAGACTGAAGCAGGGGAATCACTTGAGCCTGGAGGCAGAGGTGGCTGTGAGCCAAGAAGATCATGCCACTGCACTCCAGCCTGGTGACAGAGCAAGACCCTGTCTCAAAAAAGAAAAAAAAAAAAAAAAAAAGGAAACAGAAAAGAAAAGAAAGAAAGAAGGGAAACAAATATAAAAATAACATTTACCTTTTATTTTAACGAAACGTTTCTCTATGTGGCAACTAAAAGTATTTCAATTAATATCTGGAAAGGGGAAGGATAATTTAGGTAACTATTATTGCTCAGCATTGTCTTGAGTACACTAGAAAATGTAGTAAGTCAAGGATAAGTGACAATTGGGAATAAAGGAGATAATGATCTCACTGAAAAAATCCTATAATTGTTTTAACCTTGCAAATCTTCTAGGTTCTATTAAAGAGAAAAAATTAACAAAGTAAAGACCCTAGATAAAAGTTTAATAATCCAAATTTAATCAATTTTTAAAAATTTCCTAGAATTAAGAAAACCCACAAATTCCCAAGAATTTGAATTTGAATGCTAAAAAGTATTCACAATACTTTTTAACAACTTTATTGTGTAACATGTTCAATAAGAAATTTTATGACTTTATTACAAAAACTATGAAATTGTATTGAGGAATCTGAAACAAGATATAAATAATTGAAAAGCCATCATGTTTTAGACTGGAATAACCTAGTGCTATAAATTCTTCTAATATATATATTTTTCAGTGTATACATATTTCACTATATATAAATATATAACATTCTATATATATGTACATACATACACATATACATACATATATATCTTGTGAAATTGCCAACTTTTTAAAAGACTTAAACGAAACGTTCCTAAAAGTCATATGGAAAAACAGAGTATCCAACGAATTATATTATTTTCCTTCATTTATTAAATTGTGTTGAATTTTTAAAATAATTTTCTAAGAAGCATATAGGTGATTTGTAAAACTAATCTGTCTCTACTTTTTGATAACTTTGCTTAATGTGTCAGAATTACATAATTCCTAATTTATCTAACTTACTCCACTATCACCTTTTGTGTTTGTCCTGATCATATTTTACCTTTGTTCTATTTTTCCTCCCTCCCTCCCTTCCTTCCTTCTTTCCTTCCTCCTTCTTCTTCCTTCTTTCCTTCCTCCTTCTTCTTTCCCTTTCCCTTCCTTTCTTTCCTCCTCTCTTTCTTTCTTCTTTCTTCCCTTTCTTTCTCTTTCTTTCTCCTTCCTTCCTTTCTTCTTTCTCTCTTTCTGCCTCTGTTTTATTGACAAATTTGTTTTCTCCATAATATTCATTGTTATTAAAATTTGGGAGGAAATTTGAAAAGAATTCATTGTAATTCTATTATTTATTGGTTACCTTTCTAATTGATACATATATTTAATTTTGAAGTCTAAATTATTCAGTAGCATGCTTCCTACAGTTAAGAAAAATCATTGTTTCATTTATTAGTCACTTAAAGTTCCTTTCTCAAGCCGTCCCACATTCCTTGTTACTATTTTAAAAATTAGAGTTACACTTTTTTTTAACAGTCAATTTTATCAGCATATTTTATTATTATAGATGCATCCATTCCATTGTTTCCTCAATGGTGAACTTCTGTTTATTAAAGTTAATCACTTAATACTTCTTTCAGAGAAATTCTGTATGTATTAACACTTTGCCCATTAAAAAAAAAAAAAGTGCAGCTCACTGCCTGTGTTTATTTAATTTTACTTAAATATGCTCTTTGAGACTGAAGCAAATCTGACTGATTTTTCAATGTGAAAAAATTTAAAAAAAAACTGTTCCTGGAGTTATTTCTAAACAGAAGTGACATCAGAATCATCGGAATCATCAGCGTTGTCTATTTGGGAAAAATCCGATTCATCAAATGAATCGTTAGCCAACAAACATTTGAGAATGATGTTAACATCACACATAGGAATGCTACACTTTCTAAGATTTAACATCTTCAACGATCAAGAATTAGTATATTTTGTAAATAGAAATACTACTAAAAACAGAATGCTATAAATAGAATGATGTCTTTTGTTTCCAAAGTTGATATACCAGAGCAAAGTGAAAATAATAAAAGCGAGCTATTGTGTGGCAAAGTTATCTCTGGGTAAGCACTGCAGTCACAAGTGCTACTGGTGAGCATTCTCAAGGCAAACTGGAAAAGGCTTAAAATCACTTATTAGGTATATGTCTCAAAATACTTTTAATTTTGCTTTAACTCTAGCCTGCTGTCTTTCCAGAATACAGACTTCTACTTCTAACATACTTCAGCCCTTTGGATTAATCAGTGTTCCTTTGAACCTATTGCTGATGAGAAGTCTGTTGTCACTCAAATTGCTGTATTAATATAGTATCTTCATGCTGATAATATTCATGATGATGTTCTACAGTTTCACTTCCTTGTCACATATATTATGCTTTATTTACACTCACTGGAAACTGACAGATTTTTTTTTATTGAAATCGTTATATTTTTCATTTTGAGATCTGCATTTACTTTGTACATTCATCTAATCTTATATCCTTCCTTTCTTTTTCTTTTCCTTCCTTTCATTCTTCGCTTTTTGTACTTTATTGTTATATTTTACAGCTTGCTTTATTTCATTGATTTTAGAGCCTACGTATGCTAATTTAAATTCATTTTCGAATTTCACAATTATTTTCACATTTCCTTGAGTAAACTAATTTTCAGAATATTGTTTTATTGCCTGTAGGTCTTAATTTCCTTATATATTTTGGATATTTTTTTCTCTTGATTTCTATAGCTTGCCTTCCCTATTAAAGTACTCATTTGGATTTTTTTTTCTACTCTGCCTCCAAAGGTCCTCTCAGGCTGATGGCTGAGAAAGTCTGTCACAAATGCGATACTGGGTCAACGTCTGATCCAGTTTTTGAATCGATTTGCTCCAAATCTTTTCTATTAATCCATGCCAGCTTTCTAATGCTTCTTCGGGTAAAAGACTTTGTAGAAGTCAAAGCCTTTTAGGCTGTGAATCTGAGCCTTATTTCATTAAGTGAGTCTGGCTTATGTTCTTTGCTTACAGTGGGGCATTTTCTTTAAATAAGACGCCGATTATGCCCTTTGGATTCAAAATCCAAAAGCTTGTTGCCGATACTCATCCTTGGTGACAGACATGATTTTTGTGTTTATGTCTATTTTTTAAATTATCTATTTTCTACTTACGTATTTTCTGTCATTGCTATGTATTGGATAAATGCAGTTGGTAGTTCTGTAAGCATCAACACTAACAAATTAGAAAGCATAATTTTTTATAAGTGCATTTAATGAAATATAGATTGAGGACCGTCTTTTCCATACTTCTCATTTTCATTCTAAAATATGTAATGATTGCAAAACGGAAACATTTTTAATTCAAGTTTCAAAGCTTGAACTGCTACAATTTGACTCACTCGGGCACATTTAGTGATCGTGGGAAACCCCTCTATTACTATGTATATCCAGATGAACAAACCCTTCATGTCACATGCAAGCTTACCCACAATAAAAGACTGCTTTCATTCTTTGCCAGGTCTGTTGAATTGAAATTTATACTGCAATCAAAAATTATTTGTTTTAACTAAGGAATTATTTTCTCTCTATTTAATTTTATATTTCAAAAAGATGATGTTGCAAGTTCTCAGAAGCTCTTTACCTTCCAGATACTAAAGGATTAGCAGCACCCTACACCTGGAAACAAACAGGCAAAATGGGTGCAAGCCATCAAGCAGACTTATCAAATATCACTTTATTTACTCTAAAGCAAAAGCATCATTTACCATTCCATTCCAGCTCTGTCAATTTAGGCAGCCACCATACTCTGATGACTGCAGTCTGCTGTGATGACTTTTTATGTGTGAACTAGTCACAATAGTATGCATAAAAGAATTCATTCCCTAATCTAAAACCTCTGCCAGTAACGGACTATTGTTGACAAATTCCCTTTGTTCCATATCCCCCAGCAGATTATCTCTGAAGTGCCCATAAATCCTATACTTTTATAGGTTTTAGTAAATTCCCCTGTGTTTATAGGGGATGTCTCACTTGTGCTTCCATTATTTAAACTGCCTGGAAAGCCACATCTCTAATATGGCCACATGCACAGTGTTGATGAGTATAGATCAGAAATGGCAGAGTCTTTTCATTTTCTAACCAAAAAATAAAATTGCCACTCCAGCTGCCACATTCCTGGATATTTTATCCCATCAAGTTAAAGAAAAATCTATTACCCCCAGTACTGCTTTGTCTCCTGTTTTTGAGCTCTGGTGCTATGATCTAACTGCAAGTGTATCCATACTCATGACAGGCCTTCCTTCCCAACTTGATTCATTCCCAGGCTTGTAAAAGTAAATGGCTTATCTACATGTGAGATTCAGTTCCTCTGCTCTCTCTGTAAGTACAGGGAAAAAACGTGTGCCCTAGTCAGGGAGGAAAAGTGTATGTCTCTTTAATATCTTCAATTCAATATTCTTTCTAATAATATCACTCATATAATATTAGCTCAATAAAAGTATTGGAATTTAATCCACAGTACAAAGCAAAACACACATGAGAAGTAAAATATAAATACACTTAAATATTAACTTTTTAAATTTATGGCCTTTATCTTTGTATTTAAATAACCATGTTTTTATGTATTATTTAAGTTAAAAGATAGATTTCTTCACTTATAAAATAGAAGTAACACTATCTGTTTCATTTTGTTGATGTAAAAATTTAATGTGATAATATACCAAAGTTTTTCAAACCCTGGTTTGCATAAGAATCACCTGGACACATGTTAAAATGCAGAATAGGTATCCATTAGATATTCTTATGTAGGATCTGGGACACAGACAAGATAATGCACTTTTTTTTTTTTTTTTTGTAAGGATCACATTGATTTGGATGTTAGTAGCCAGTGGACAACTTGAAAATCATTGATAAATAAAAATTAATTATCACAGTGCTGCCACATATTAAGGATTCTATAGATGCTAATGATTATTGTCTTTTTAATATACTATGCATTGAACCATAATGTGATATTGGTGATACCTACAGGTACTCCATAACTAGGGAGCTGGTAAAACTATTAGCCAGGAATGACTGCTAAGTGAACCCTGCCTGATTCCTGTCCTGTTCTGGATCCCTTGATAAGTCATTAACCTTGTGCTGTCTATGTTCTCAAATTATGAATATCGAATTCCACTGGTATGTAATATTGAGGTGCTCAATGAATAAATCTCATTTTATTTATAGTTTTTCAAAATTGTCTCCTTAAATATTTAATTAGATTGAGCAACACAGAGTTCCACACTTGAATGCATTCTTCTCTGCTCTTTGTATTTCTAAATACTTGGAACAAATCTGAGTGGTTTTAGAAGTTAATCAAACTTCTAAACTTCTTTCCCTGATTGTCTTATTTTGATTTTTCCAGTGCCTGAGAATGGTCTCCGTTCTTTACTTCATCATTCTATTTTATTTTTTCACAACAGTCCCATTGATCAAACAAAAAACAAACAAACAAACCTCCTTTCGCTCAGAGTAAAGTAAATCTAGCCTGTTTGATTCAGGTAGTTGCCTAATATCTACTCAGTTTTCACTGAAAATTGTTTTAAAACCAAAATATGAAAATAGCTGAAATAATGAAAGATTTGGTTGAAAACAAATAAATTGCTTTTTAGGCAACAATATGCTATATCCTTGATTTCCTATTAATGTCAATGGTAATCATTGGAATTGTGAAACTTGGTTTGATTTCAAACAACTGTTTTAATAGAGCCACTCAAAGACAAAATTAGAATCATCTACTGTCAACCTAATGTGATTTGTGGGAATCACCCATAGGCTATTCTGCATGTGACAGCACAAACCAATATGCAGATAATTGATTCTTTGATTGCAGGTATAGTGACTTATTAAGATGAAAATAAGAAAAAAACACCTTATAACTAGTTGCCCCTTGAAAAATTTATTTCTGAAAATTTGCCTTACAGAAATTATTTATCATTGGAAGACAGCACAGGAAAGGAGGTTTTGCAGCTGTTGGCTAAATTTCTCAGGGTAGTAAAGACTGAGTTGCCATGTGGTAACATGAATCAGGAAGGAGAGAATAATGAACCAAAAATACAGACATGAATGTTGAAAGAAAAGGTGGAAAAACTTGAAAGAAGATTTTAACTACTTTACAGTTGTGTCCAGGCTTGTCTGTACCCCTAAATAATCTTATGTGACAGATTTGACTCTAGGTTATGTCTAGGAACTGCTAAGTAGAATTAGCATTACTCTCTGGCCACATCTACTGGATGGAAGATTTTAGAATCAATGTGAATTGAGATCAATATACTTTGAATTTGACCCTTAGCAGGAGGAGAAATTTAAATTATTTCCTAATACTAAATTTTAAAGTGATTTTTTTCTTTATATTTTTGAACATTTCAGTTGAGCAGGTGAAGAGAATATATTAGGAATTAAGAATCTAAACCAAATTGGAAAATGTGAACTTATAGTTATATCCTGCCTAATGTCTTCTATATCATGATATTGATAAATGGTCTTCAATAATAATTCCTAATTATTCAACATCCCATCCATTCTTAAAAAGAAGTGAGGAATATTAGATATCTAAAATTCATATTCGTACAAGCCATAGGGTTTGACTATAATGAATGTAGAGAACAGGAGGAAAAAACAAAATTGGCAAGGCCAAGAATTAATCCACAGCCAATTTCAGGGCTAGAGGAACTAATGGCATAACAGCACTGTTTCCACAAAAATACTGACTTCTATTTCAAAAACAGTGTAAAATAGAATATGTGTTTATGTAACAAGAGCTGATTTATATATCAAAAGGATCATATCTGATAGCTCATACAGCATACTATACCAATATTTTTAATCACAACAGTGGTCCAAACCTGGTTCCTATGTGAACCTAGTTTAAAGTATGCCTTTAGGCAGCAGGAACAGGGCCACCTATGGTCTTTGTGACATGAAATGCTACAGCTTAATTTCATTTTTACTTATTTGAGTTTTCACCATTCAGGCTTTAGAATCTGATTATATTTAGTGATAAGGGAATCGAAGTCTAAGATCACCTCAATTAAACGTATCCAACTCCTTTACTAAAGCCTTCATCAAATCCTATAAAATCACCTTCTCCCTTCAATTATGGATAAAGAGCTCAGTAAAGATAAAGTTCACTGAATTGTCAAATTCCTCATAGAAAAAGATAATTTGTTCTTAATATTTCAGGATAAAGCTTCAAGTAATATAGAAGATAAAGTTATTCTTACTATTGTGATAGTAGTGTTGCCCCTGGACCCCAGTCATTGAATCTGCATGGGGCTCAATTAATGTTTCACTACATTAGATCTTAATTTTTAATATTTTTAATGTAGCTTTTTAACATATATTCTTTTCATGTTGTGTTTAGGAGGAGGAGAATGAGTAAGAGTTGAATTGATGGAGGATTGTCACTGTGCCTAACAAGAGATGGTAATGGCTTGACCAAATTATCTTAGTGCCCAGAGCCACCCATAAGGCTAAGCTGTAGCAATATTACTGGCTGCTTGAAGAGTAGTGTACAATCCTAAAATTTTGCTTAATGGAGGAGGAGTTTCTTTATAACCAGTCCTTTAAACACTGTGCCATAGAGAGAAGTCTGAATCAGAAAATGTCATCAATTTGTGTGTCAAAGTGAACTTTTCAAACAGAACCAAGACTAGAGAACATATTGAATAAGAATGAGACAGGTTAGAGTATGGGGAAGCTTTCAAGGAGCTTGGAAGGGAGCAGTATAAAGAAATGAAAGCAGATATGAAGATGTTTCCAAGAATGTTAAATGTCCTCAAAAATGTTTTTTAATAGAGGGAAGCAAACTTCTGTAAGTTATAGGTGAACTCTTTAAAAGGGCAAAAAGGGGCCCGTCAAGGTGGCTCTTGTCTGTAATCCCAGCACTTCAGGAGGTGAAGGTGGTGGATTGCTTGAGCCTAGTAGTCCAAGATCAGCCTGGACAACATAGTGAGACCCTGCCTTTACAAATTAGTTGGGTGTGACAGTGTGCACCTGTAGTCCTAGCTACTTGGGAGGCTGAGGCAAAAGGATTGCTTGAACCTAAGAATTCAAGGCTGCAATGAGCCATGATCACACCACTGCACTTCAGCCTGGGCAACAGAACGAGGCCCTGTCTCTAAAAAAAAAAAAAAGTGAAAAGGGCTAGGCAGACAGCAGCTCAAGGCTGTCTAAACAAGACAAGATAGACCAAATCAGTGACCTTTCTGACTTGGAAGACTATCCTGTAGAAACGTTGTCAGCCTCATAGCCGACTTTTAGTTTAAATTTACTCCTAGAGATAAGATGATTGCCTGCTCTGAGCATACCACAGAAATACTTTTGGGAGAGAGCTGCTTTTTTATAGATAGAATTCAATCTGAACATGTGTTTATGGAAAACACTTGTTTCCCAATACTTTGCAATTTGTATTTAATAATCTAATAGGATTTGACTGTGTACCCACCCAAATCTCATCTTGAATTGTAGCTCACATAATCCCCACTTGTTGTGCGAGGGACCTGGTGGGAGATAATTGAATCATGGTGGTGGTTTCCCCCATACTGCTCTTGTGGTAGTGAATAAGTCTCATGAAATCTCATGGTTCTATAAGGTGGAGTTTCCCTGGACAATCTCCCTTTTTTTGCCTGCCACCATGTAAGACATGCCTTTTGTCTTCCACCATGATAGTGAGTCCTCTCCAGCCACGTGGAACTGTGAGTCCATTAAACCTCTTTTTTCTTTATAAATTATCCAGTTTCAGGTACGTCTTTATCAGCAGCATGAAAATGGACTAATACATAATCTGTGGGCCATAATGATTCAATATCTCATTCTTAAGGTTTTAAATAGTTCTGTTTTTATTCTAACTAAATGCTATCTTGGATTATGATGGTACAGGAATTGTACTATGACAAAAAGTTCCATACTGGTCCAGAAATCCTACTCTTCAATGTCAAGGCCAAATTCCATGTGGATCAGTGGCTAGAAAATATAATAACCATTACAATAATAATTTTTATGATGAAATTATTAGTCACTACATGTATTCATTCTTTATATATATGCCAGGTACATTCTATCTATCTAAACTAATCTTCAAACATCTTCATGAGAATGTGGTATTATTTTAATCCTACAGATAAAAAAGTAAAATATTTATTAATTTTAGCAGCTGTAATTTTGGTAGAAGATGAAATTTTCTTAGTTAAGATCAATGATCATAATCAAATACCTAGAGAAATAAAATGTTTTCAATTTGTCACACTGCTGTTAATCAGCATCATGCATGGAACTATTGGTTGTGGGCTTATAAATATAAAATGTATTTTATTCCACATTAATAAATATGTCAAAACTTTTAAACTTAAATTAATATATACTGGAGCATGATGGCAGAATATTTAAACAATAAAATGAAGTCTGTCCTCTTTTTTTTTTTTTTGCATAGTCAATGTTCAAAGTTCATGGTTGTTCCTATATTAGGCACTAGGGTTGATATGACACAGTGATGCAGAAGCCACATATTTCTTTTATAAAGTAACTTGCAAATGTCACCTATTCTTGATCATAGATACTTTTTTTTGGTTTGGGTTTTGTAACTTATTTTAAACGCAGTGGCTCACACATGCAATCCTAACACTTTGGGAGGCCAGGATGGGTAGAACACTTGAGCCCAGGAGTTTAAGACCAGCCTCGGTAACATTATGAAACCCCATCTCTACCAAACAAAACAAAACAAACAAACAAACAAACAAACAAAAAAAATATATATATATGCCATGGTATCATGCACCTATACCTACAGTTCCAGCCACTCAGGAGGCTGAGGTGGGAGGATCCCTTGAGCTGAGGAGATGGTGGTTGAAGTGAGCTGAGATCATACCACTGCACTCCAGCTGGGCAACAGAGTGAGACTCAGTCTCAAAACAAACAAACAAACAAACAACCCCCCCCACACACACACACACACATAAACAAAAAACAAACAAACAAAACTTAAATATTATTCTGGAGTTACCTAATCCTCTAAATTTTTTTAGAAGGCAAGTTTTCCAGGACAATTACATTTTGGTCATTCGATGTCTTTGATGAAAATAGTGATTTAAATATTTTATCAAAATTTATTATTTATTTTCTACCTAATTATTATGAACTCCATCTACTTAGGAAGTTTTTAGAGATATTCTAGTGATAGACAATTGTGGTTGATCCTAGAAAGTAGAGTTATCTACTCAGAGCAGTTGCCAAAATATTAACCATAAACATCCTTTCTCTCTCAAACCTTAAATGAATATTATTCACTAATGTTTTCATTTATTTTTAAACAACTTACCTATTGAGTGCTATGTATCCTACTTGATGTTCAGTATAGGGATGAAGTAATGAATATGTGATTTATTAAATAAGCATTTACTAATCTACTGGACTAAACACAAAAGAAAGAGTCCAACAGATCACAATTTCTGATTATCTGTTGATTCAGTAAATAATTCCCCAAAGAAATGCAATTCAATGACTATCTCCTCCCTGAAAAAAGAAAAACTATACTGTCTTCGGTTTTCCAAAGTTTACAATTTATCTATATGTACAAGAGCTTTTTTGAAAGAGTATGTCTTAAATCATTGACAATTAGCCCAGACAGGGAAAGTCACACTCCTGTTGACTGAGGTTTGGTACCTGCATGAATGGCTTAACTTTAGGTAAAAGTAAAGGAGGGAAAAATAATCAATCCAGTTTCAGCAGACAGCATCACAGATTTAGTGATTAATTTAGTGAGCCTGGGTAAGAAAGACATGAGAAAGACTATTTTATGTATTTGGGGGTCAAGGTGTAAATTTATTTTATAAAGGTAATAATTGAAAAAATGGGCATGTCAATTATACTTTTAAACTTTTAAAAAAATTATTGCTTTATAGACCAATATACTCAATAATTTAGACAGTTAGTTTTGTTTTGTTTTCTTCCTTCCAGCACTAATCAAATTAACATTTCTTCAACTGAGCAACAAAAGAAGTTGTTGAATGATGTTCACTAGACATGCTGGAGTAAAAAATTGACGGTCAGGTTTCCATGAGCCACCCTGCAACTCTACTCGGTAATTTTATTTAATCTATTTCTATTCATTTGTCTGTTTTAAAATATTTCATATTGTTGGTAAGGCTAAGAAGCCTGTATCATTCCATTTAGGTATCAATTCCTTGATGAACTAATGAAAGGCATAACTCAGCATGCTGCAGTTCCACAGTTTGGATAAAAAGTGTAACCATTTCAGATACACTCAGAATAAAGTAAAATAGATCAAAAAGTGTGAAGAAGTAAGTCACGCATGAAATTGGAGTGTATTGTCAAAATAAGTTTAAAAGCAATAAAAAACTATTATAAATATTCAATTCCCTATCAAACAAAGGCAGTAGATGAATGCTGAAGAAGCCACAAACAGGAGATCAGAATAGTTTCAGAAGAAAAAAAAAAATAGAAAACCAAAGAATAGTTTAGAAAAAATGATAGATAGGAGGCAGGACTTAGTTGCAGCTCCCACCCAGACAGACAGAACAATGTGTGGAGACACACATTGTTGTGAACTTTTGCTCCAAGAACTACCCCAGGAACATGCTGGGAAAGCTGAGAAAATCCGCAGACCCTTTGAAGGAAGTGGCTTGCTACTGCAGGCTCTGTGAGACAGCTGAAAAACTGAATGTCCAAAATGTGAGAGGGGAATCACCTGCCCGTGAAAACACACATTCTCACTGGGGAAAGTGAAGGGTCAGATCACGGGAGAAGGATCTTATCTGGAGCTGAGATGAATTTAGAGAGCTGGATAAAATATAGGGGTAGAGGAAGCAGCAGAAACAGCCCTGTGGGCACTCTTGGTCCCCAGTAAAGCCATTCCTGACTTTGTCCTGCAGGTGTCCTTGAGGAGGGCTGCCAGTGGAATTAAGGAAAGACCACAGCGAGAAGGAAACTTCCAGCTGAGCTTTGTAACAATTTTGACTAAACTCAAAGTTTCCCGGACAGAATCGGGGGGAGGGGGCAAACTGGGAGTACAGATACAAACACAAAAGCCATGGCAGGTAGGGGGGTAAGGAACCTGAAAGTTCTGCTTGCTTTCTCAGTGGGGTGGTCTTGTAGCCTGGGGCAAGTTCTCAGCCCTGCTGACTGGCTGCCAGGAAATAAACTCAGTGCTGCTGGGGGAGCACCATGAGAGTGAGGCTGGCCTTTTGGGCTGTGTAGGAGCTGGGTGAGGTCTGTCACTGCTGGCTTTCCCTCACTTCCCAGGTGACCTGTATGATGCAGGAGAGGCAGTCATAATCCTCCTGGTAAGGTAACTTAATCAGCCTGAGAACCACTCCCCCATTTCCCAGGGCAGCTTCAGCAACCCTGCCAAAGGAGGGTCTGAGATCCAACACCCCTAACCCTGCCCCTACCCTGGTAGTCAAAATCAAAGGACATAATCTCTGGAGAGCTTTATGGCCCCATCCACCACCTGAGAAACCTGAATACTTATCCAGGTGACCCTAGGGCTAGCTTATATCCCCCCTATACTACTGCAACTGATGCTCTCTTGAAAGCACCACCTCCTGGATGGAGGCCAAAAAAACTATGACCTAGGACCCATACAGAGTCCACTTCACTCCCCTTTTACCTCCACCAGAGCAGGTGCTAGTGTCCACGACTAAGAGACCTGAAGATGGATCACAACACAGGATTCTTTGCAGACACTCTCCAGTATCAGCCAGGAGGACAGAAGTTCTGCTGAGTGGCTAGACCCAGAAGAGAAATAACAATCACTGTACTTTGGGTCTCAGGAAGCCCCATTTCCAGGGGAAGGGAGAGAACACCATGTCAAGGGAGCACCCAGTGGGGCAAAAGAACTTGAACAACAGCCCTTGAGTCCCAGATCTTCCCTCTGACATAGTCTACCCAAATGAGAAAGAACCAGAAAAACAATCCTGGTAATATGACAAAACAAGGTTGTTTAACACCCCCAAAAGATCACATTAACTCACAAGCAATGAATCCAAACCAAAAAGAAATCTCTGAATTGCCAAAAAAAAAAAAAAAAGAATTCAGAAGGCCAATTATTAAGCTACTCAAGAAGGCACCAAAGAAAGGTGAATACCAATTTAAAGAAATTAAAAAAAGAATAATAATATAGAATATAGACAGAAAAATCACCAGAGAAATTGACAGCATAAATAAAAAACAGTCACACCTTTGGAAATGAAGGACACACTTAGAGAAATGCAAAAGACACTGGAAAGTCTCAACAATAGAATCAAACAAGCAGAAGAAAAACTTCAGAGCCCATAGACAAGGCTTTGAAATTAACCCAATACAACAAAGACAAAGAAAAAAGATTTTTAAAAAATGAACAAAGCCTCCAAGTTTGGGGTTATGTTAAATGAATAAATGACTAAAACTAAGAATAATTGGTGTTTCCCGCATGTTCTCCCTCATAGGTGGGAGTTGAACAATGAGAACACGTGGATGCAGGGAGGAGAACATCACACCCTGGGGCCTGTCAGTGGGTGAGGGGCAAGGGGAGGGAGAGCATAAGCCCCTAATGCAAGAGGGGCTTAAAACCTAGATGACAAGTTGATGGGTATAGCAAACCACCAATGCACATGTATATCTATGTAACAAACCTGGACATTCTGCCCATGTATCCCAGAACTTAAAGTATAATTAAAAAAAAAAGAAAGAAAAAGCTTTACTGAGACGTTAGGAAGTTAGATTGAAAATTCTTATTGGAATTGTAAGAAATGACAGATACAGGATATTTTTAATTTGCTGGCAGCTATCAGGTGCTGTTTAGCATATTCTTGCCTGCTTAGAGGTACAGTAGTGTAGTATGTAATAAAAGAAGGTGTATTATATGAGGATTTGAGTTCAGGCAATGTCACATGTAACTGTATGAATGTGGATCCCATGATTTTAAAAAACTGTCTATAGTAAACAGTACTTCTACTAAAAAAAAAAAAAAAAAGAATAATTGGTGTTCCGAGTAAAAAGAGAGATGTAAAAGTTTGGAAAACATATTTGAGGAAATCAAGAAAAATGTCTCTGGCCTTCCTGGAGATCTAGACATCTAAACATAAGAAGTTCAAAGAAGACCCAGAAAATTCTTCACAAAAAGATCATTGCATAGGCACATAGTCACCAGGTTATCTGAAGTCAATTTGAAAGAAAGAATCTTAAGAGCTGTGAGGCAAAAGCACCAGGTAACCTATAAAAGAAAACCTATCAGATTAACAGCAGATTTCTCAGCAGAAACCCTACAAGCTAAAAGGAACTGGGGCCCTATCTTCAGCCTCCTTAAACAAAATGATTATCAGCCAAGAATTTTGTGTCCAGAAACTACGCTTCATAAATGAAGGAAAGATACAATCTTTTTCAAAAAAACAAATGCTGAGAGAATTCACTAGTACCAAGCCAGCACTATAAGAACTATTAAAAGCACCTCTAAATCTTGAAACAAATCTTTGAAATACACCACAATAGAACTCCCTTAAAGCATAAATGTCACAGGACCTAAAATACAATAACACATTTTTAAAAAAGGCAATAACTAGTGAGATAAATAGAATAGCACCTCACTTTTCGATACTAATGTTGAATGTAAATGGCCTAAATGCTCCACTTAAAAAAGAGAATGGCAGAATGGATGATTTGACCAACCAAGTATCTGCTGCCTTCAAGAGACTCACCTAACAAATAAGAACTCACATAAACTTAAGGTGAGAGGGTTGAAAAGATATTTCATGCAGATGGACACCAAAAGTGGGCAGGAGTAGCTAATCTTATATCAGAACAAGACACACTTTAAAGCAACAACAGTAAAAAAAGACAAAGAGGGACATTATATAATGATAAAACGACTAGCCCAATAAAATATCACAATCCTAAATATATATGCACCCGACGCTGGCTCTCCTAACTTTATTAAACAATTGCTACTAGACCTAACAAATGAGATAGAGAGCAAAACAATAATAGTGGGGGACTTCAATATTCCACTGACAGCACTAGACATGTCATTAAAACAAAAGGTAAACAAAGAAAGAATGGACTTAATCTATACCTGGAACAAATAGACATTTAAAAAAATATTTTTATGTCCCTAGGTTTTGGTGAAACAGGTGATATTTGGTTACGTGAGTAAGTTCTTTAGTGGTGATTTGTAAGATTTTGGTACACCCCATCCACCCATCACCCAAGCAGTATACACTGAACCCAATTTGTAGTCTTTTATCCCTCAGCCACTTTCCACCCTTTCTCCCTGAATCCCCAAAGTCTATTCTGTCATTCTTATATCTTTGCATCCTCATAACATAGTTCTCAGTTATGAGTGAGAACATGTGATGTTTGGTTTTCCAATCCTGAATAACTTCACTTAGAATAATAATTTCAAACCTCATTCACCTTGCTGTGAATGCCATTAATTCATTCCTTTTTATGGCTGACTAGAATTCCATCATATATATGAGATACATATGTGTATATATACATACATATATATGTGTATATATGTATATATAAGCATATATGTATGTATATATACATATGTATATATACATATGTATCACATATACACATACACATATATATATACACACACATATATATATGTATGTATGTATATATACACCACAGTTTCTTTATCCAGTCATTGATTGATGGGCCTTTGTGTTGGTTCCACATTTTTGCAATTGCAAATAGAACAAATAGACTTCACAGGTATTTACAGAACATTCTACCCAACCACTGCAGAATATACATTCTATTCATCACCACATGGAACATTTGCCAAGGGAGACCATATGATAGGTCACAAAACAGGTCTCAATAAATTTAAGAAAATCAAAATTATATCAAATACTCTCTTAGACCACAGTGGAATAAAATTAGAAATCAACTCCAAAGGGAACCCGCAAAACCATGCAAATACATGAAAATTAAATAACTTGCTTACATATGATCATTGAGTCAACAATGAAATCAAGATGAAAATTTAAAAATTCTTGAACTAAATGATAATAGTAAAACAAGCTATCAAAACCTCTGTAATACAGCAAAAGCCAAGCACTGAATGCCTACAAAAGTCTGAAGGATAGGCACTCTAAGGTCATACCTAAAGGAACTAGAGAAACAAGAACAAACCAAACCCAAACCCAACAGAAGAAAAGAAATAACAATGATCAGAGCAGAACTAAATTAAATTGAATCAAAAAGCAACATGAAAGATGAATGAAACAAAAAGCTGTTTCTTTGAACAGGTAATCAAAATTGATAGACAATTAATGAGATTAACCAAGAAGAGAGAAGATGCAAATAAGCTTAATTAGAAATGAAACAGGAGAAACTTCAAGCACCTCAGAAATACAAAAGATCATTCAAGGCTCTATGAACACCTTTACTCACACAAAGTAGCAATCCTAGAGGAGAGTGATAAGTTCCTGAAAATATACAACCATTCTAGATTAAACCAGGAAGAATTAGAAACTCTGGACAGACCAATAACAAGCAGCAAGATTAAAATGGTAATAAAAAATTGTCACCAAAAATGTCCTTCACAGCTGAATTCTTTCATACATTCAAAGAAGAATTGGTACCAATCCTATTTACATTATTCCAAAATATAGAGAAAGAGGGAATCCTCCCTAAATCACTCTATGAAGCTAGTATTTCCCTAATACCAAAACCAGGAAAAAACATAGCAAAAAAAGAAAACTACAGACCAGTATCTCTGATGAACATAGATGCTGGAATCCTAAACAAAATACTAGCTATAGTCAAATCCAACAGCATATCGAAAAGAAAATCCACCATGATCAAGTGGGTTTCATACCAGGGATGCAGGGACGGTTTGACAACCACAAATCAATAAATATTACACACCACATAAACAGAATTAAAAACAAAAATCACATGATCATCTCAATAGATGCAGAAAAAGCATTTGACAAAACCTAGCATCTTTCTATAATTCAAACCCTCATCAAAATCAACATAGAAGAGATTTACCTAAAGGTAATAAAAACTATCTACGACAGATCTACAGCCAACATTATACTGAATAAGGAAAAGTTGAAAGCTTTCCCCCTGAGAACTGGAACAATACAAAGATGTCCACTTTCACTACTTCTATTCAACATAGTACTGGAAGTCCTAGTCAGATCAATTGGACAAAAGAAAGAAATAAAGGGTATCAGATAGATAAAGTCAAACTGTCACTGTTTGATGATGATATGATTGTATACCTAGAAAACCCTAAAGACTCCTCCAAAAAGCTCAGAGAACTGATGAATGAACTCAGTAAACTTTCAGGATACAAAATTAATGTACACAAATCAGTAGCACTGCCATACATCAATAATGACCAAGGTGAGAATCAAATTAAGAACTAAACCCCTTTTACACAGCTGCAAAAAAACAAAATACTTAGGAATATACCTAATCAAGGACAGGAAAGACCTCTACAAGGAAAAGTACAATATACATATACTGCTGAAAGAAATAGATGACACATACAAATGGAAACACATTCCTTACTCATGAATGGGTAGGATCAATATTGTAAAAATAACCATATTCCCAGAAGCTATCTACAAATTCAATGAAATTCCCATCTAAGTACCTCTATAATTCTTCACAGAACTGGAAAAAACAATCCTAAAATTCATGTGGAACTAAAAAAGAGCCCACACAGCCAAAGCAAGACTGAGCAAAAAAAAAAACCCACAAATCTGTAGACATCACATCACCCAACTTCAAACTATACTATAAGGCCATTGTATTAGTCCATTTTCATGCTGCTAATAAAGACATATCCAAGACTGGGTAATTTATAGAGGAAAGAGATTTAATGGACTTGCAATTCCACATGGCTGGAGAAGCCTCACAATCATGCAGAAGGCAAGGAGAGGCAAGTCACGTCTTACATGGATGGCAGCAGGCAAAAATAGAGAGCTTATGCAGGGAAACTCCCCCTTATAAAACCATTAGATCTTATAAGACTTCTTCACTATCACGAGAACAGCACAGGAAAGACCTGCCCCATGATTCAATTACCTACCACTGGGTCCCTCCCACAACATGTGGAAATTGTGCAAGCTACAATTCAAGATAAGATTTGGGTGGAGACACAGCCAATCCATATCAGCCATTGTCAGCCAAACAGCATGGCACAGGTACAATAATAGGCACATAGACCAATGGAACAGAATAGAGAACCTAGAAATAAAGCCAAATATTTACAGCCAACTAATTTTCGACAAAGCAAACAAAAACATAAAGAAAGGGTACTCTATTTAACGAATGGTGCTGGAATAATTGCTAAGCCACATGTAGAAAGAAGAAGGAAGCTGGATACTCGTTTCTCACCTTACACAAAAACCAACTGAAGATAGATCAAAGACTGAAATCTAAGACCTGAAACTATAAATATTCTAGAAGATAACATTGGAAAAACCCTTCTGGACATTGGCTTAGGCAAAGACTTCATGACCAAGAACCCAAAAGCAAATGCAACAAAAACAAAGATAAATAGATGGGACTTAATTAAACTAAAAAGCATCTGCCTAGCAAAAGAAATAATCAGCAGAGTAAACAGACAACCCACAGAGTGGGAGAAAATCTTCTCAAACTGTGCATCCAGCAAAAGACTAAAAGCCAGAATCTACAAGGAATTCAAACAAATCAGAAAGAAAAAAACAAACAATGCCATTATAAAGTGGGCTAAGGACATAAACAGACAACTCTCAAAAGAAGATATACAAATGCCCAAGAAACGTATGAAAAAAATGCACCACATCACTAATGATCAGGGAAATGCAAATCAAAATTGCAAGGTGTTACCACCTTACTCCTGCAAGAATGGCCATAATCAAAAAATAATATATATTGGTATGGAAGTGGTAAAAAGGGAACACTTTTACACTGCTGGTGGGAACGTAAGCTAGTACAACCACTATGGAAAACAGTGTGGAGATTACTTAAATAGCTAAAAGTAGATCTACCATTTGATCCAGCAATCCACTAATGGGTATCTATTTAGAGGAAAAGCAATCATTAATTGAAAAAGATACATGGACACGGATGTTTACAGCAGCACAATTAGCCATTGCAAAAATATGGAATCACCCCAAATGCCCACCAATCAATCAACAAGTAAAGAAAATGTGTTTGTGTGTGTGTGTATACACACATATATACACATACATATACATATATATATGTGTGTGTGTGTGTGTGTGTGTGTGTGTGTGTGTGTGTGTATGAAGCTAGTATTTCCTTAATACCAAAACCAGGAAAAAACATAGCAAAAAAAGAAAACTACAGACCAGTATCTCTGATGAACATAGATGCTGGAATCCTAAACAAAATACTAGCTATAGTCAAATCCAACACCATATCAAAAAGAAAAAAACACCATGATCAAGTGGGTTTCATACCAGGGATGCAGGGATGGTTTGACATCCACAAATCAATAAGTATTACACACCACATAAACAGAATTAAAAACAAAAATCACATGATCAAGGAAGCCCTTTTTTATCTCTGAGACTTGAGCAACAGAATGCAGAGGTCTTCCTCACTCAGACCAGAACTGTGGTGGCCATGGCTTGGGGCTGGGATGAATTTGGAACTCTAAGTCCTCTCAGTTAATCAAAGGCTGCACCACCAATTAATTGAATCCTGGGTAGATGTAGGGCTTACTCATGTCTCGTTTCTCCGTTCAATTTGCTCTGCCTATACTGATATCCCAAATATATATATATATATATACACACACACACACACACATATATATACACACACATATGTATATTTATACACACACAAACCTGAAATTATGTATATGTAATATAAAATATCAATAATAGCTACATTGCTTTAAGCATCTCTATATCTTCATTGTACTAGAGCTTTGTAGTATAGTGATTAAGACAGTATATGGAGACATACATGGTCTTAATGTAGAGACATACTCTCTAGGGGGGAAACAAAACTAGTTTTGTGACCTAAGGCAAATTATTTAAACTGTCAGGGCCTCAGTTTCCTTATCTTTAAAATGGCAACAAAATGAACAGTTTTTAACTCATGATTTTATTGAAAGTATGAGAAGAGATAATGCACGTAAGTTCCTTAGAAAAGTGTCAGCAAGTTTCTCCTCACACCTACCAGTGGATATTTCCAGCAAGTGTTCAGGAAATTTTAGCTGTTAAGATTTTATGAATGATGGAAGCAAGAGATCAGTAAGGTTCGGACATACAGCTGAAAATCTGTGGAGTCAGCACAAGAACTTAGCTTTTCCTAAGCCCTAAAATCACATTCTTCTATTTTGTTCTTTCTCTCCAATGTCAATAATGTTATTGTCTTTCAATTTTCAGGCAGTGAACAGAGTCCAGAGCCAGGCACCTGGGGTTTAAATCTGAGCCTGTCACCTAACAGCTGTTAAGCCTTCAGAAAATTAGTGTCTTTACTCCTCAGATGACTCTTTTCTAAAGTGTAGATAATAATAACACCTAGAGTTGTGATAATAAATTAAATAATGTAATTGAAGTGCTTAAAATAGACCTGGTACATAGTAAGTTCTATGTAAACTTACTATCAAAATTATCATTATTTACCACCTGTTTTTAGGTACTGGTCTAATCTCAGTCATGGTATATCTTCTTTAAGAGCAGAGATAATGTCTCACATACTGTAACTCATAAATTCCTGATCACATCTACCAGTAGATAGTTAATAATATTTATCAACTGTAACTTATAAATTCCTGATCATATCTACCAGTAGATATTTAATAAATATTTATCAAATATTAATTTTTGATGCCAGAAAAAATGACTTCTAAGAGTATTAATTTTTAACAATAAAATGATTACAGTATGGTTTTTAATATTATTTGGTAAGTCTATCTCTAGTTTATTGGGCCTGAAAAATGACTTCAATTTTCTGAATACCCACATTAAATTTTAAATATTACTTAAAACAGTTATCATCGTACACTAATCATACTTTGGTCCCTTGGAAATTCATAATGCAATTTTTGAAAAAGAATTTATAAACTCTACAAAAAGTTCCTACTTTTAAATGTAAAAATTGCTTAGATACAAAAGAATATGGTTCAATGAGAATTCAGAGGAATGTCAGGTAAGTTTGGGCTATATATTTTCTTTCTCGTCTACACAGAAAAATCAGTAAAGCATCATTTATCAAGGATGAAATTACAGTCAGTTTTGTCACAAGAAATAGCTACTTAAGAAGCCCTTAGTAGTAAAGCTGGTGAGTAGCAAAATCTAAAGGTAAGTCAGAAACAATTTAGGATGTCAAAATGCCAAATATGTCTCTACATCGGAGGGAAAAATTTACAGTTATAACCAGAGCTTCTTAAAAGTTTAACAGCGAGCTGACTCAGACTGAAGAATTTGGGCAAGTTCATATACAAGGACTCCAGAAGAAATACAGAGAAACATTAAAAGAAATGCCCTAAGCTGTAAAATCAGCTTCTGCCTGAATGGTATTGCTGTTCTTTTTACTTCAGATGAAAAAGCATAATGAGCTCATTTCTTTTCAGGTTTATTTTACATTTGCTAGGGAAAAAGAAAGAGAAAAGTATAGGAGCTTAGAGATTCTGAGTATGGGTCTAGTGAAAATCCATTTAGAGTTGGAAAACAAGCCTTCAGCATGGAATTTAACTATCACATATAAGAAACACATGGCGCTCCACTTTACTTGTGGGAAGAACAGATGCCAATGAAATGATAGTTTATCAACAAATTGGACAATTTAGGCGACAAGATGAGAGATTATGTCTGAATTTCTTTATAACTTCCAAAAGCATTCAGGCTATTTTACATATTCTGAAACTATATCTGTGTAAAGATAAAATATCTCAATGATGTAAGAAAGATTACTCAGTCATTGGCAAAGACATTCTTTAGAGTAAACTGAATAAGTGAGACCATTTTGGGGTATCTCAGTTCTAGACTTAAAGAGAATTTATTCTTTTTTTCCCCATACAGTTCTTCTACTTTCCAGTATTACTTTTATCTTTATTTTTTTTTAAATAAATACCTGAAAAATTTTCCTACTTGTTACATGCGCCTTATTGGACAAAATGCTTTTCTCCATTTATAAGCCCTTCATTACCTGATAAACCATGATAGTACCTTTTTGAAACCTAAAAACTTGGAACTTGGCAACTTCTGTAACTTGAAGCCTGGGATATATAATTATTTGCATGCTTTGTGTAAACCTCCCCGACCAGCTTTTCCTGGGGTAAAACCCCAAGATATCCCTAATTTATACTTTCCAAATAGAATAGAAATTTCTATTTTGAAGTCAAATTATTATTTATGTCTGTGAGATAGACTGCAATGTGGAATTTTCAGTGCTTTAAATTCTTCCTTATTTCATTTTTTGTGTTGAAGAAAACATTCATTCTCAAGCAATTTCAGTTTCTTCATTGAATTATTTTTTTCTAATATTGTTTGTCAAACAATAACTAATCATTTTCCTCATTGTCTCTATTCCATCTTCAACCCTCAATGGGCAACAGTCTCACATGATTTCCTAATGTAATGTCTACATATGTTGGTCCTTTAACTACGTCTTATTAGTAAGTGTGTAAATCAGGAAAAAACACAGTTAATGAGTAAAGAATTACCAATAGATACTCGTTTAAAGAAAACAGTGCAATAAAGTAAAATGAGATATTCACTACTATGAGAATTTAGCCAACTGCAAAGTTAGAGTGAACAGTCCATACAAGACCACTTTTCTTCTGACACCAGTTGCAAGTTTGGGGAAGTACTCAAAACAATCTTCAGGTTTCATAATTTACTAAAATGACCCATAGAACTCACTGAAAGCTGTTATAGTCACATATATGGTTTATTACATGGAAAAGAAAGAAATATTAAAATCAACCAAGAGACACGTAGGTCAGAGTCTAAAAGGGTAGCAAACATGCAGCTACCAGTTGCACTCTCCTTATGGAGTCAGCACAGTTTTACTGTACTGGTATGAATATGTGACAACACACCGGGAGTATTGCCAAAGAGAGAAGCTCATCCAAACGTTGATGTTATAGTTTTTATAGAGATTCCATCGCATAAGCATGATTAGCTGCCCATATGACTGATAGCAGCCTCCAGCCTCTCAGGAGGTTGGGTTTATAACATGTGACCCAATCCCTCCCAAAGAAAAATCACATTGAACAAATGTAAATGTAAGGTAAATGAAATCACTGAATTAAAATTTTGCTTGGGAAGACAGAAATACAAAGATTTTCGGGGTAGAGGATTAAATGTACAAATATTCTACAGGAAATCTTTTACTATATTTTTGTGTGCTTGAGAGTGTGTCTGAAAGATCTTCAGAAGTAAAAATAAATACACATGCAGCAGTGGTAGAGAAATACTTTTTAATGGAAGAGGCTAGAAGTGCCCAGGTGTCTTAGAATCTGGTAATGTGAGTGTAAATGGGTCACTGATAAGACAGTCATAATTAACAGAGTTACAAGAATTTTGAATATTAACAATTTTTTTATGGACCTTTGGGTGTCTTGTTAAACTAGCATAGTTCAAACAAAAAGGATCATACAAGCAATTTTGTAATGTCTATTAGGCATTTTAATTAAGTTGTCAGTAGCTATTGTTTGCTAGATGATGAATGATGGCCCTGTAATTAAAAAATGGCTTTTACAAAATATTGTAATTTATCTTTCAGAGAGTATTTGAATCCAGACAATCCTCCTCTTGCTACTGTTTCCATTATACCAAGATGTCTTTTAGAGGCAATCATTTTCAGATTGCTTTAATTACATTTTAGGGTAATTTTAATTTGATTAAGATTTATGGAATCTAATTCACCACCTTTCAAAGAAATGAAAGACCCAAGAGAGTGACAATTAAACCTAAAATCAGACAGAAGAGGGAAAGCAATGTGCAAGCAAGGGAGAATCTTTTGTTACTATACCCATACCCATTTGTTAACTTGCAGATCCATTACAAGAAGTTCAAGAAAAGATATTTTGCATTACTATTACTTTGATAAAAGGAGTGATTGCTGTCTTTTTAATAAGAGAGATGAGAAGTAGAAAAAAGCAATTTTATTTCTTATAATAACATAGACATGTCAAGATGCCATATTATACAAGGAGAAAAATTATATTTAAAAAATAAAGCTAGGTATATCAAGGTTCAGAGAAATAAGAAAGAATTAACAATGTATATTGGGCTCTACTTGCAGTTTCTCTTTTCATTGGAAACTAAGCATCCTGGTGCTGGAGCATTCTCTGCGAGATTCAAGCATAGGTGGCCTTGAATTAGAAAGTTACATGAAATAGCATTTATGAAAAGTTGATTCATTTTTCTTTTAAGCAAAGTTTATATATATTTTCCTATATTTTTTCCTATATATATTTCATACACACACACACACACACACACACACACACACACACACACACATATATATATATGAAAATGATATTGTGTCACTAGAATAGTTCTCCTAGGTGCTTTAATAAACCTGAATTTCATCTCCACAAGGGAAAATGTTTTGGTCAGCAATTTTAAGATTCAGTTCTGGAAAGAAAAATACTGACTTAGAGGAGAGCCTGTATCTCAGTCTGTTTCTAATTTCTGGCTGCAACGATCACATTTCATAAGTGAAAACTATGCAGCCAGAGAGCATTGCATAGCCCCTGCATGGACAGAGAGTACCCTGGTATACAATCTCTAAATGTGCACCCTAGGGACCATTGTGATAACTACCCTACCTTCATATGCTACAGAGGCAAATATAGGCCGAGAATTTGACCTGACAAATCTGCTCACTCAGTTCTGGAGTGTTTTAATTTTAATCATCCAAACATTCATAAAGCATGTTTAGAGTTTTTCCCCCATGCCATATTATTACTTTTAAATAAAGAAAAATGAGCTGCATAATAGAAACTATTTTTGCAATTGCAAAACGTAAGAATACGTAAGTTGTATTTAGTCATTTTTATTAACAGAAGATGAAAATATTTTCTTTGGTTTGGAGATGCGATCACAGTAAAGGGCAAATTATTTACCTCTATTTTGTATACCAAGATGAGCCAAATCACATTTAGTAGAACATGACTACAAAAGAAAAGCTATGATCAAATAACTTGGGAAATGCTGTACTCTATTTCCTCCAACTAATATGCAAATTCATATGCACATTAAACCTGTATTTGTAAAGACGTCTGTTGAACTTTTCATAATCCAGCTTTTCAATGTGTATTCAACTACAAGTCTCTGTTTTTAACTCTGTGTTCACAATCTATTTTGAATATGTTTCCCATGTTCAAAAAACATAATTTGAGAACTTTATTTTGACATTTATCAAATAAACTATATAATTGACATAATTTTATTCACTTGTTTGGATGTGTGTCCATTTCTTGCCTCTACATCCAATCACATGAAATAACATAAATGAAAAATTGTTTTCACAGTAATAAATATTTAAAATGGTATATATGTATAAATTTATAAAATATATGACATATATACGCACATGTACAGCATTTGCATACATTTGTATATATTTATTATAATTATTACAATCATAACTACTATTGTGATTCTAATTTATATTTTTATCCATCTGTAGGGAAACAATTTCAAATGCCATCAATGATTTATTTGCTTTTATTATTTTTAATGTACGTCATTTCAAACAAGGTACCATGTTGCTAACATTGTATAGTGATTCTTGACAAAGTCCTTTCTATAGTAAGTACATATAAGCCTAAATCATGATGTATATAAATGTGTTCCTTGACTTAGGCTTTTCTTAGAAATGTTGAGTGCTTCTTTTTAATTGGTTGTTAAAATAGTCTTGTTGTGTTTTAAGCTCCCTGGTGACTACAATTTTAAAGCTTTTGAATATCAGTATTAGTCATTTATCTCATTCATCATGATCTTTTTCTATATCACAAAGCAATGTGAGTATTCAAAAGCATTTATGCAGAAATATATGCTAAATATTATATAATAAACATGTGATGCATGTTTATTAAACATGTGATTAATATTAAATACTATTAATATAATTATTTAAATATTAAATAATATTATCACTTAAGTATTAATATTATCATTTAAATATTAAATAATAAACATGTGATACAACCTTCCAAATGTTAGCCATTATACAATTATGGAAATGCATATATTGCATTTTGATTTTTTCCAAAATGATTAGTTGATACTATATTTTCAAAATGAAAAATATTTTGAGGGCAAGATCAAGACTTTTACTTTTTTCTTGGATAAATATATGTTGACAAGTGTATCACTGAGTTAAATCAGAGAAGCAGAACCACTGTGAGTAATAGGATAAGAGATTTATTATAGGAATTCGATTTTATTCAATTGTGGGAAGAGCCAGGGAAATGAAAACTTGAAAGGGGGAGTTGCATGATAAGAGGCATCACCAGCCAGTTGACTGAGAAAGGAAACATGGCCAGCAACCAAAGTGGAACTATGAAGGGGAGTCCTTTAGGCTATAGTTATCCGTCTGATGATGTGTCTTGGGCTACTGCTGGTGAATGAGAAGGGCTGTTGGGGAAAAGAGCTGGGCATAAAGGGAGTTTAAGAGAGTGAAAACAACGTGCATCTACTCACATTTCTGCTTCCATTGGTCACAGTGTCTGTGACAACTTTCTGAGAGCAATGATTTCCACTTGAATTTTACCTTATAAATCTTATAGAAAAGTTTCTGTTTAGCCAACTCTAAACCAGAATCACTAATATAAAGGGTTTCTGGGAAACATTATTCCGAGGCTTAATCTGGCTATACAAGAAATATCATACTCAGTAAGCAGTCATTCTTAAATACCTAAATTGTGTCTACTCTAATTGTACATATGTCTTCTCAAAAATATTATGTCATAATGACATACTACATAGTGACAATCATAGCCAACTCCTTCAACACATAGTCACGAGATGTATAAATATGGGCAAGTGCCTTGCCTCTCTATGCCTCAGATGTACAAAGAGGATGAGAAGAATAAAAATACTACACACATCAAAAAAATTGTGAGGAATTTTTAAATGATATTAACTATATAGCACCTAGGACAGAGTAAGTTCTAAATACCTTTTTATTCTGTGCTTAACACAACGCTAGGCATTGGTGATGGTATAAAGAAAAAGAAAGGGCATTTATTCTTTAAAAAAGTGTTCCACTGTCATTTTCATTATCATAGAACCAAGGAAGTATTTTGATCCAAGTAACTAGGCTGATTGGTTGTTTTGGTATCATTTAGACTTTATTTTTTTCATCATCCACCAACACATAGTAAAATAAACGTAATGTGTTTCAATTTTAAAATGTAAAACAGAATAGACACATCTGTATTAGATGTTTAAGAACAGAAAGAAATAAAAAAGGAAAAAATATTTAAGGGGCAGCATAAATGGTAAGAAAATAATCATTGAATGAATTTTTTCTTTTAATGGGTGGATGGGGTGTGTGTGTGTTATGTATATGAGAGAGAGAGAGAGAGAGAGAGGCTTGAGGTTTTCCCAGCAGCAGGACCTTGTTCACAAACTTGTATATATGAGATTTCTTTGGAAGTTGCTCCGTGGGAATAGGAGTGAAGAACAGACTACAGTAAAACAAGGAAGAAAAATTAGCTTAAGGGTGCATTTAGGGTCAAAACAACCAGGCCAGGGATTTTCTGAAGAGCACATAGAATGATCTTGAGCACTATCCACATAAGGAAGACAGGGAGAAGCCTGTTTTACATGGCCTTTTGCTACCACTGGTTGAGGGCTATCCCCAAGAAGTTAACTCACTTCCTTTCAAGAGGCCTCCTATTGGTATTCACTGTGTGGGAGAAATGCCAGGACAAAGAGTGAAAGCTGAAAGAACGTGCTTATGTAAAATGTTTATAGAAGGAAGCGAATAAAAGTACACACATGAATATGTGCTGCGCATGAGGCTAGAATCAAAAGTGAGGCCAACAAGATGTGAAGCAGGACAACAGAGGTATCAGATAGGGTCCATCTCCTGCACTGCTGAGGTCCATTCATGCCTTACACTAAGATGAATCCACCACTGAGTTTTCAAAGTGGTGATCAGAGATCATTTCATCTCTCAACTGACTGAATACAACCAGGTTAATAAAAACTGTACAAAAGGAAAAGGTGATGATTTAGCAATTGAATATGGGATTTAAAATTTATTCTTGTGGTTTTAACAGATATACTATTATCCTTTATTTACTCTATTACATGATGTACTCTATTACCCTTTGTCTCTCATTTTTTTCAACTAAGGTAACCCTATTTTCACATATGTTTTAAAAGATATTACTAATTATATATTAGTGATAAATAGGAGAATTGTTCTTCAAAAGTTGAAATGTAGCCTCTTTATACTGTAGTTTCCCCTTGCCTGTGATTTTACTTTCTGTGATTTCAGTTACCAGTGGTCAACAGCAGTCTGAAAATACTAAACAGAAAATTCTAGAAATGAACGATTCATGTTTTAAGTTGCAGGTCATTCTGAGTAGCATGATAAAATCTTACATCATTCTGCCCCATCGTGCCCATGGCATGAATCTCCCTTTGTCCAGCACATCCATGCTGTATATGGTACCTGCTTTTTAGTTGTCATCATCCTCTGCTCCTGACATCCAACCATCGACAATGTCATGGCTGGATAATCCAGAATCATCCAAGTAGATGATCCTCCTTTGGATGCGTTGCCAGAAATCAATAGTAACCTAATGCTATGTCACAATGCCTATGTCATTCACCTTACTTCACCTCATCAAGAAGACATTTTATCACTTCATATCATCCCATGAAGGAAAAGCCTGAGTACCAGTACAATAAGATATTTTGAGAGAGACCACATTTATATAACTTTTAGTATAATATATTGTTATAACTCTTCTATTTTATTATTAGTTATTGTTGTTAATCTCTTACTATGTCTAATGTATAAATTTAACTTTATCATACGTATGTGTGTATAGAAAAATACATAATATATAGGTATTATTCATGGTTTCAGTCATCTATTGGGGGTCTTAGAATATATCCCCTACAGATAAGGAAGGGTTACTATATGTCTTTTCTAAATTTGCATGCATAATTCCTAATTGTCACTATCTCCTGTTTTAATGTAATTGAGTAAAAATGTATTCTCTTCAATATGTTTTTTTCAGAAAGCCAGATGGCATAGAAGTCTCCAGAGGGGAAATACACAAACATACCCCTCCCCAAACACAGAACTGATATTCTTTATTTTCTCCTTTCCTTTCCAGTTCTCTTTCACTCATCAAAGAAAACACACACACACACACACAAGTTTAGCTAACATACAAACAAAAACTCTGGGTTCCTTCATTGGCAAAGACTCTGTATGAGTTCCTTGGTTTTAGAGAGACTTTGTGTGGTTTTCTCAGATACTGGTTGTAGTAGCAATGTACTTGGTATGTTAGCAGGCTTACTGTCTTTTGTGGGGTTGTAATGGCAGAGATCTCATTAAGTTTATCTTGCTTCCCAGTGGTGTTTACTTAATTTTTTTCCCATTAATTTATTCACTGGTTAAATACCTCAGGCTTCATGCCAGTAGGGGGTGTCCATGGGAAAAACAGAAATGTCGCTGAAGCAGGTGGGTAAATGCAATATCCCAATGGTGGGCGGAGGTGTCCACCTTGTCAGAGGTGGGTGGGGAAGCTAGCTCTCAGCGAAATGCACTGAAGTCTTTTCAGAGGGAAGGAAGGGAGCCACCACAGCTGTCCTTCCAGGCCTGCAGGAAAGTGATCCACGCCCCCTCACCCAGTCACACTCCTGACCTGGTGTTCCAGTTGTTCAGATCAGACACGCATCTCTTTCCGTCTTCAACAATGCTGATGTTCCATGTACAGAGAGGTTGTGACTCTACCTCTCATGCAAGCCTGAACCTGGAGGGCACTCCTCCTATTGATTGTAGTCACCCTGAAGTATTCCAGAAAGGTTGTCTAAAGATGTATCCATGCTGAGCTCTCATGAGAGAAGCCCCAGTTGTTTCTACAGTGGTAGATAAGGGAAAGAAGAAGTTTCTTTTTCCAATACCCTTCATGAGCACCAAGGCTGCTTGACTGTTGGAGTAGAGCCACAGACTTTTCCCACTCAGCCCATCACTGCACCTGTGCCTCTGCTGAAAGAAACTTCCCACAAGTGGAAAGTTCAGGGCCTCCAGGCCTGCAGTCTGGTTTCTTTTGTGCCACAGGGCACTCCTTTAATGTTACGTGCTCCTCCTTCTTGCAGGAATAGCAGTCCCTGAGGGCCAGATTACTGTGAATCCTGCTGCTCCTCTGGGTCTAGCTGCCCACCGTGGCTGCCACACTCCAGGGTGGTGCTGGGGAATATTTGCAAAGGGATCCAGTGGTGTGACCTGTCCTCTAGTCTCATAGAGGCAGTACCAGCTCTGATGGGGTGAAAGGAGAGTGATGTAGACTCGGATTTCCTTTGTTATAAATAGCCTGTGTGTGTCGGCTTTCCCAAATGCCAGCTGTAGTGGTAATGAGCTGGTCATGTGGATAGACTCAGGACCTTCTGGTTAGCCAGGGTGAAGCAGGCAGTGGTGATATCTGAGGTCACACAAACATTTTCTATTTCCTGAGCACTGTGTTACTGTGCCTGTAGATGTAATGGGCTGTGCCAGTTGGCCTCCAGCCAGGAGATAGCACTTGCAAAACAGCACCAGCTGTAGTGGTAGCAGTGGAATTTGTGCTTGCCTTATGTTACCCAGGGGTGGTACTGTAGTGTCTCAGCCAACGGGCAGAGCCATGGAGCTCCCAAATGTCCCTGTCCATTGTGTTATGCTACCAGGTCAGGTGGAGGGGCAAGTTCGTGCTCTGACTCCCCATGTGCAGGCACAAGCGTTGGCCCTGGTAGGGATCAGAGGGCAGTTTTCTGGCCGCTGGGGTAATTCTGGGGAGGAATGCCACTGCCTCTGCTGCACAAAAGAATGCGCATGGGGAGCAGGAAAATTAAACAAAAATTAGGCCCACTCAGCTCTCAAACATTTGGTAAGGCAAGTCTCACACTTGCAGGGTTCTGCTGACAGCAGCTAGCTGGTTTCCTGGCAGCCCGTGTTGAGAACCAAAAACTGCTCCAGGTATAAGCCTTCCTGATGGAGACAGAAACCACGGCTTTCAGGCCATGTCCCTCCTGACTTGCCTATAAATCAGGGGCACCCAGCTTCCAAGTCCACAGCTTTAGCATGCTTCCCACTTGCCCCTTGATTCTGGCCAATGGGGTTCATCCCCACTCAATATTATATGACAAATCTCAGTTGGGAATTTTTCTCAACCTGCGACTGAAGCCTGAGTTAGCTGGCTGACATCCATGAGCTCTTCTGTGAGGTAGGATCAGGAAAGCTTCCATCCATTCTTGCTGGAGTCTGGAAGTGCATGCAAAGCATGTCCCAGCGCTCTTCCTTCTCATAAATTCCTCACCTGTCGCTAAATCAGCTCCAGCACTGGGTAGGATTTAAGGTCTTCCCAGTGGCTGTCACCTGGATTACCTGGTTCCCCTGTGGGAGTGTGTGTCAGGGCAGTCATCTCTCTCCATCTCACACTCTGCAGAGATCACAGTTTTCTGTATAGTTCACAGTTTCTGTGTGTGTTGGGGGTGAGGGGGTAGGAGATGTTAGTGATTAAGTGATGAATGCCTTAATTCATCACTACCGTGGAAGCTGTATGTGAGCAAGCCCAGTATCTGATCTGCTTAACATGTGTCTCAACAACTTGATAAGGTGCTTGTCACGTGGTAGGTAATTACTGTTTTTTTGAAACATATTTATTTATATTGGTTTCCAACCAGGACTATATAACCGGTTTAAAGAAATTACTTGTAAATTGCACACATTTGTACAAAATTATTTGTGAAGTTTGAAAAAATTAGAAAACTATTATACAGCTTGGTGACAAATGGATGGAGTTATAATTGCTTTAGTTCTTCTAAACACACTTAAGACTAAAATGTGTAAAATATAAATCCTAAATTAAATACTTAAATCACTTCATTACTTTTAAGATTTGTAAAAATACATTTAGAGAACCAGGCAAGATAAAAATTATTTCCCAACATTCCTATTATTTTATACCAGACTCCAGTAAGTTAAATAAGATACCGAGTCATTTGGAGAGAGTACTACAGTGGCAGTCAGGAAGTCGGATCTAGCCCCAGTTTTGCAACTAATCACCCATGTGAGGTAGACTGCCTGAACTGCATCAACATCACATGTAAATGCAAGGAGATAAGCTTTCATAAAAACCAAAAGCTTCTTCTGTCTCTAAACTTCTGTGAGATTAGAGCTATATGAGCAATTTTATTGTAGGTACACAGTGTTTTGAAATTTATTAACAATCTAATTCAATTTCTTAATTGCATTATGAGTCTAATTAAATTCATTGTGTGAGAAAATAGTGAAGTATATAATATATTCAAATTATCTAAATTTTAAAAGACTTAAAACATATGCTTATAAAGGTGTTGTTAACCATCAATGTTCAGCATGAAGAATTTTCTCAAAGTGCACACATCCACATAACCACCACTCAGATTAATAGAACATAAACAAAATTCTAGAAACTGCCTTTATATTCACTGTCTAATACATACCCTAATACATTTCTAACTTCTGTCATCCTATATAAATTTTAATGATTTTGAACATTATATACATTGAATCACAGAATATTCTGTCTTCTTTCTTTCAGGCAATGTTACATCCATGAATTTCATCCCATTTTGCCTGATGCTTTCATTATTCATTTTCATTGCTGGGTAGTATTTCACTGAATGAGTATACCACAGTTTATCTACTACAGTGAATGAAAAATTAAATTATTTTCATATTTGGCTATGCAAAAGCATGTTGTTATGGGAATACTTATGTTGGATTTATAACTAGGAATGAAAGAGGTGGGATACATCTTTGGTAGACATTTGACAATATTTTTTAATGATACCAATTTACACTCCCAACATTAGTTTCTGAAAATTCCAGTTGCTGCACACTCTGCAACATTTGTCGTGGTCTTTTATTCCTCTCCATGCTTTGTTTATTGTGATATAACTTGCCTATTGTAAAATGTGCAAATCTTGAATGTACACCTGGATGACTTTTTTTTTTTTTGAGATGGAGTTTTGCTGTTGTTGCCCAGGCTGGAGTGCAATGGCACGAACTCAGCTCACTGCAACTTCTGCTTCCTGGGGTTCAAGCTATTCTCCCATCTCAGCCTCCCGAGTAGCTGGGATTACAGGCGTGTGCCACCATGCCTGACTAATTTTGTATGTTAGTAGAGACGGGGTTTCTCCATGTTGGTCAGGCTGGTCTCGAACTCCTGACCTCAGGTAATCCACCTGCCTCGGCCTCCCAAAGTGCCGGGATTACAGGCGTGAGCCACCGCGCCTGGCGTTCACCTGGATGACTTTTTACATATGGTCATATACCTTTTTGAACACCTTAATTGATTTAAGCAAACTTCCCTCCTACCTTCTGCCCTGCTAAGTAAGAACTTTCTGACCTTTATAATGTGGATGTATTTATTTCTGCCTGGCTTTCTCTACACCATTTGCGAATCTGCTCACACAATTTTCTGCATATATTTTAAAAGTCACTTTATGTAAGTATAATTGACTTACGACTGAGGATATTTAAAGTATGCGATTTGATAAAATTTAACATATGAATGCCATCATAAATGCATCCTGTAATCAAGACAGAGAATAATCTATCACACGCAAGGTTTTTTTTGTGCACCATTTGTAATCTCTCCTGTCCTTCCCGACACACCCTATATAGATAACCCCTACTCTGTTTTTGGACAATATAGGTTGATTTACGTTTTCTAGAGCTTTGTATAGCTGGAATCATTCAATATTTATTTTTTGTGTGATTTCTTTCACACAGCGTAATTTCCTAGAGACTTATATATATGGTTTTGTGTATTGATACTTCATTCATTTTTATCACTAAATAACACTTCATTGTTTTCTACATTGCTTTGCACTGTTAATATGATAAAATAGATTGTGCTTTCCCCAGATCTGCACAATATAACTATCTGAAATGTTGGAAATGTTCTGTATATGCACTATCCAATAGGGTAACCATTAGCCACATATGGCTATTGACACTTGAATTGTGTTAGGACAACTGAGGGACTGAATTTTAATTCAATTTCCTTTTTAATTAGCGTGGTACAAATTTAAATAGCCACAGATGCTATTGCCTGCCACATTGCATAGTGCAGGTTATACTGTGCAATGTTTCTGAAATGTATTTGATATATATGTGTGCTTATGTGTGTTTAATATGATTATTTATCCAAAAGAAAAATGAAGAAAGACAATAGCAAATCACATATTGAGGCTAATTACTTTTAGGAACACATTTATTAATTGCCTATAGGACAGACTGATTGCCATCTGAGTGCAGCATGACTTCATAATTTTTATCTAATGATTTGTTTAAACTTTATATGATTTATTTTTGTCAATTATACGCCATAACTTTCTTGGTATTATTCTTGGTGTATCTTCTTTACTTCCTTAATGGTCTTAGTATTCTGTTCATTTACCATCCTTTAATTGCCTTTCCTCTTAACTCTCTCTTTGTTTTCTGCATAATTTGTGGAGATGCTTTTTCTTTTGCTTCCTCCTTGAATGTCTGAAACTCTCATTATTTGCTTTTCCCAATTATTTTTTAAATACTCCCCCACCCTGGGTTATTATCTCAATTTTAATGGCTTAAATTATAAAGTGTGTTTTGTGGTTACCCAATATACACTTTTTATACTTCTTTTTTTTTTTTTTTTTTTGAGACAGAGTCTTGCTCTGTCACCAGGCTGGAGTGCAGTGGTGTGATCTCGGCTCACTGCAACATCCGCCCCACTGG
Source organism: Homo sapiens (assembly GCF_000001405.40). NCBI lineage: Eukaryota > Metazoa > Chordata > Mammalia > Primates > Hominidae > Homo > Homo sapiens. The sequence continues at coordinate 53,399,634 of NC_000010.11, read as the reverse complement.
TTCAAGAGATTCTCCTGCCTCAGTCTCCCAAGTAGCTGGGACTACAGGAGTGCACCACCAGGCCCAGCTAATTTTTGTATTTTTAGTAGAGACAGGGTTTCACCATGTAGGCCAGAATGGTCTCAGTCTCTTGACCTGATCATCCACCTGCCTCGGACTCCCAAAGTGCTGGATATTTCTTTTCATATCTCCAGTGTCCCTCAACTTCTTCTCTTTTGGGAGGGTGTCCCTATGGACATTGCCCTTTGCTCTTCATCACCTAGCTAACATGGTGTTGCTAACTCTATTACATAAATGCTGAAATTGATCTATACTTGCTTATTACCATTCTCTCTTAGAAAGCAGAGTTTCAAGGCTGTGTTTTCTCTTCTCTAGCTTCAGCTAGATTAGCACAATTAGAAGCTGCTTTATGTGACTTAGGCTTCAGAAGGTTAACAGTTTTCTGTTTTCCAGATTAAATACACGTATTCAATTTACTTTGCAATTAATTCAGCTACCACCTATGGTATGTATTCGTAGATACCTATTGCTTAATGACTGTTAAACAGTTTTTAGAATCTAGCTGATATTTTGTGCTATTTTCTCCTCTTGATTATAATTTCTGGTAACCTTTCGACTTCCGGCATTTTGCTATTTTTTTTAGAACTTGTTGACATTATTATGTAATCTCTGTAATATATCATTCATTAGTTCTCAAACTATCAAACAGCCATAAGAAAAACATGAAGCAAATTTCTTTAAATAGCATTGCATTAGTATGAATCAATTTTTGCTGCATGTTTGTAAACTACAACATGCTTTGTTTCTTCTCCCTCGAAATGTTAGAGATGAAACTCTAATTTGCAATATTTGGTTAAACGCCAGTTGATCACATTTGGTTTATTTCCATATGATCATGACATGGGGAGTGTTTCTTTAGTTAGGGATCCAGCACAATCAGGTAAGTAGTATGTGTATTATAAAGATTTGCTGCTTTTTTTATTCCCCTTATATCCTCTATATTTTTAAATGTCATATTTTAGTGTTATATGTGATTTTATCATATTTTGCATTATTTTCCAAGACCTACTTAAAGAAAAAATTAGTGACAGTACATACTACTGATTTGTTGAGATAACAATTTTTGTTTTAGCCTGTTGTTCCTTATAATAGTTGCTATATTTGGGGCCTTGTCTTGATAAGTGGCTGATCAGTCTCATCTAATATCTTCAGTTTATCTTTTAAGTGTGATCATTATGTATACTTAGAGAGTATACATTAAATAGATTTATTTATATTTTATTTTACCCCACTGAATTTATTCAGTGAAAAAGTTAGTACAAATGCATGAATGCTGTCAACTTTACATAATAAAATAGAAAAATATACGTGAAAGACTGAGATTTTTTAAAATACAACTTAGTTTATTATTCTACATTTTAAAGAACACTTGAAACTTTCTAAAAAGATTTTTTGTATTATTTAGAATATTTGCTTTGCCCTTATTTTTGTACTAAAACTAAAGATGTACAGTTACTTTTTTCTCTGTAAATTTCAAACAATACCCAAGGAACTCTTCACAAATACTGTTTGAATAACCATTTTTTCAAAATAATAAGGTCCTTGAAACTGTGTAGAAAATTTCTAGTATTAATTTATAATAGTCCACTGACATACATTTTTATATAAAATGTGAGCAGAAATTTGCACAGAAAATCAATAGATTATTTGGAAAGGAATTTGCACCAGTGAGAAATGTGGAAAAAATAGCTACCAATCCACTGCATCTCCTGTATTACTATGGATTTTTACCAAGTCGTTTTAGCTCACCTTATGCTCTGGTACCAACACTAACATGCAATTTAGAGTTTATGTTCTATCCCAAGTGGTTGATTAGAGCTTATTACATGAGGTCTGAAATAGTCATTACACCTAGGCTCCTAGCCACACAATCTGCACTGTGGCTTGTCTAGAGTGTTGGCTGATGGATAAAGTGTCCTAAAACGTTAGTTCCATCTAAATTATTTCTTTTTCAATCCTCCAATGCTCATTTTATTCACTGGCTTTGTTCCCCAATCTGCTGCATAACGCTGTCTAAATCCTTGGTTAAAAATGCCAGCCCACTTTACCCCTAACCAGCTCCTGGACTGCCATTCAGAAACAAGCCTGGACCCCCCACTTCCCCTTACTGATTTTTTTTTTTTTTTTTTTTTTTTGAGATGGAGCCTCACTCAGCCACCCAGGCTGGAGTGCAGTGGCGTGATCTCGGCTCACCACAACCACCATCTCCCGGGTTCAAGTGATTCTCCCATCTCAGCCTCCCGAGTAGCTGGGATTACAGGCACCCGCCATCATGCCTGGCTAATTTTTGTATTTTGGTAGAGACAGGGTTTCACCATGTTGGCCAGGCTGGTCTTGAACTCTTTACCTCAGGTGATCCACCTGCCTCAGCCTCCCAAAGTGCTAGGATTACAGGTGTGAGCCACCACGCCTGGCCCCCACTTCCCCTTACTGGGCCTAAGCCTTGGACTCTGAAGGCAGAGGTTCAGTCCTCATGATTTACAGATGTCTTGGAGTACTGCCAGGTGTGCATGACTCTGGTAAACCTCAAATCTATCTTTTTCTCTGAATGCTACTGCTTTAGCAAAAAATGCCTAATTCAGGCTCAAGGTACATTATACAATGGAGATGAAAATCCATGGAAAAGAAGATACATTACATTAAGATAATGAGAAGTGTCTGACAACTCTGAGCAATAATTTGACGAGAACAACCCAACCCTTTCTCTCTGCACTTTCTCTTCATGTTATTGCTATTCTCCTTAGATTTCTGTCCCTCTAACATTTTTACTTAAGTTTTTCTATTATTTTGTCTTTCAAAGACTCTGGTGAGAGAAAATGTTCTACCTTTGGTTAATCTCTCTTAACAACAGCCGCAGCACAATTTCAATTTAATTAGTCAGGTTTTTGAAGACTTTGTCATCTTTGAGAATGTTTTAGGGTTTGGTTCCCTCCAGGGAGCATGTGCCTTGAAGATTATTTTTTCTCATTTATAACTTATTTTAAGGGATATTTTCATAGTTTTCTGTAATCACTGACTTCCTGAATTGATTTCATGCTGGGTTTTCATGAAATAAAATCACTCTGGCATACAGTCAAGGGACCATTTACAACAAGGTCATCAGCTTCCATTCAGTTATTAAACAAATGTGTTGAAGAGGATCACATGGCAGGTATTGTTGTAGATGAAACATACTTTCCCTAGTAATGTAGGGAGTTATACTACTTTCCTGTAGTGTAATGGAGCTTACACTACAGAGAGAGGCTGATAATTTAAGAATAAATATGCAATATAATGTAAGTAATGTTTAGAAAATGAATACAATATAGAGAAAAGAGTGCATAAAGGTTCTATTTAGATAACATAATCATAGTTATTTAAGCAGAGACATAAAAGAATAGTGACTGGCACTATTTCAAACGGAGCAAAGTACATTCAGGAAAAATGAGATTGGAGGAATAGGAAGGAACAGATCCTATTTGGTCTTGTAGACTAAATCAGAGACGTAGATTTTGATCTAAATGAAGTTGGCTCCAGTGTTAGTGAAACAGAAGATGTAAAAAGAAAAACAAATTTTCCTGTACTAGACTGACTCACTCCAAGACCCAGGAAGAGCAGCGCTCTGTTGAGGCTTTGATAGCATTATCTGCAGAGCCGGGGCCCAGAAGGGATGGGCTCCAGAGTCTCTCCCTCCCATCCTGGAGCAAGGTTGGGAAAAACAAGTTTTTCTCTTTCAGCTTCTCCTTTCCCCCCTTACTAGTCTCACAATTATCTTTGCAAGTTTTGTAAGCTCCTGTTTTTCCCTTCTGTGCAGCACAGCAAAGGTCACAAGACATGCCTGAGTTGCAACACCTGGCTTGAGTTGTAAAACCTGTCACTGTTTGATAAACTGCCTTTGTTCTGCTTCTGTAAGCTTGCTTACCCGCCTTACAGGTTTCGCACCACTGACTGACCAACTCCCTTTGGTTGCATGTATAAACGTCAAGCCCTGTCTCTGTTTGGGGCTCAGCCTTTGGATATTAATCCGCTGGGCTAGTGGCCACCTAAACAAAATCCTCTTGTTCCACCCATTGGTCTCTCCCATCCCTTAATTCCCGCAACATTAGAATAATAAAACCATTATTGTAACTGACTTTTATCATAAGAGCATCCATGGGTCTCCCCTTTCATATCTAGCTGATGACATATAGATCTTCATTTTTGTTAAACCAATATTAGTTTAAAGATGGTTCCATCCCACATGCATATATTAAATTCAATAAATGTAGAGAAAGTAGACAAAATGATTGAAGCATACATTCGCTGTATAAACAGCAATAACTTTGAAAGGGTGTCCTCTCTGCAGACTATATTTTTCTGATAGATTGAAATGGTGAAATCATTTCTTTGGTCCTTTCATCTCTATGAGGAACAATACATTTATTTTCTGAGCACAGAATTGGACTTTGCCTAATATACAGTGTGTGTTCAGTAGCAAATTCACTATTTAAAAATAGAAAACCTGGGGTGCAAATAACCTGTAGAGTTTACTCTGAAGGACTTTGTGCTATGGTAAATGGCACAAAGCCTATAAAAGCAGTTGCTCTTTATGGCATGGCATAAACTGATGAGTGCCATAAGAAAAGACCAGATAATAAAGGACAGAAAATCTAGCTGAAAAAATAACATTCAGACCTTCCAGCCAAAATGATCTGAAAAATTTTCAGTGAAGAGCTGTCATCTGTGTTAGAGATAATAGAAAGGAGTATCATAATAATAGGAAGTAATCCACGTAAATCAAGGATCCAAGTTATGGCAGTGTAGTAGTTAATATTATCAGGAAAATGGGGGGAGGTATTCAGCTTGGTAAGATGAGAGGCAAGAGCAAAACAGAAAAGTAAGTTGAAATCAGAAGAACACTGAATACCAGGAAAACATGTTTGTAATTTACAGATATTGAAAGGCTGTAAGTCTGGAATTTTAGTAGCTGGTACCAGTGTACAATATAAGTAAATTTGGCAGTAATAGTAAATTCTTGCAGTGGTTCACAGAAAAACTGTTGTTGGAGTTCTGACTTGAAAGAGTACCACAGTACCATGAATTCAGAGGAAAGAAGAGTTCCAATGATATGTTGCCAATAAATTCCATATAATTTGGTAATAAACTGGATTAGAATAATGAGAAAAGAGGCAATCAAGACTCCATCCTATAATCAGGCAGAATGAGGATGGTGATATACTTACACAAAAAAGATGGAATTGGAGAAAATGTAATTGGAAGGAAGTATAAATGTATTGATTTTGATTTTGCTAATGTTCACTCTCAGATATGATGGAATGGCAATCATCTAATTTGAACAAATTAAGAAATTTTCAATTTAACAATAGACCCTTACCTCACACCATATAAAAAAATAGAGTTTAAAAAGATCATAGATCTAAATAAAATATCTCAAAACATAAAACTTTTAGATAAAATATAGGAGTAAATCTTCATTTTAATTTTATTTTTGTGAAAGCTTAGGGATTTCCCATGATTTTTCTGAGAATATATTCTGCCTTGGGCGTGTGTAGCTTTTTGCATTCTTCAGTACACCCTGGAATTTGTAAATTACTCAGTATACACAGTATTTTGAATGCCCTAATTTCCCAAATAAACACTCTCCCTAGCTTTTTCCCCAAGGCCATAGGACATTTTATGTCTCAGGTGTAATTTTTTTGCCCTAGGCCACTACACATTTTTCATTTGCCTTACAACATTTTACAGCAATGCCCACTGCTTCTCTGACCTGAGTTCTAAGACAGGCAAAACAGAGACAATCACCTTGTGTCAGTCCTTCAGGCAGTCCTCTGAGAAGTCTGAATAGACACACATAATGATTTTAAATGAGATCTGCTCTGTTCTCTCCAGAACTTGGAATAATGGTCCTGTGTTGAGAACACAGGCTGTCGTCTTCAAGAATGTCATGGTGCAGGGAGGGAGTAAGGAAAGGGCAAGCAAAAATGGCCCAAAGTTTTCCTACCACTTTTTTAGTTATCTTTTTATTTACTGTTCACTTGGTGGCTGTAAACCTTTGCCTATTTCCAGAGTCCTGACAAATTGGTTCTGGCAGTTTCTGCACATTTTTGATGTTTCTCTGGAAGGCTGGAAGTTTGGAGCTGCCAACACTATTTTTTTCTAAACTATATTCTTTTGAGGAAAATTTTCTTTGAATCTAATACTTTAGTATTAGATTGAATGCACGAGTGATAATATCACCCATGCACTTTTTTGTGAAGAGCACTTACTAACCTACCATCCAATAGTTTATTCACCTTTCAACAAAAATTTTGACCTATACTAACACAAATACAGGGCCAAATATTATATTCCCTCTCTCCTCAAGAAGCAGAGCCAGTGTCTGTGGAGGCTGTAAATGTCTGGGTAGCATGGAGCTTAGGATCATGTGTCTAACTTTATTTTGGAAGTTATAAATTTCAGTGATGGCTGTGTGACAATAATAACCAACTTGAGTAAGTAACAGCTAAAGCCTTCATGGTTCACTGAGAAATAGAGAATTATTAGTTAAGAAAAAGCAGGAAACTTCATGAAATTATGTGATTATGTCTCACTAGATACATAATATGAAATGTTTAAAATATCTAAAAACTGAACAGGTTTTCAAATTATCAAGCATTTTAAAAATCAGGGTTTAGACCTTTCACAGAGAGGTAATACTTTGTTTTGCCTGTGTGTTGAGTATTTAAGTCTACATAGCTATATTCTTTATATATCCTTTAGTGTATTAAGCTAGGAGATAATTTTTTAATTTGTTAAAGACCATCACAAATTTGGTAAAATATTTCATGCTTGAGTTTTATAGAACAAGTGGATTGTTGTAATTTCAATTAATTAATTTCCAATTTAATAATTTATTTCATAAAGACTTTTGTTAAAGGCTTTAAAATGTAGTCTTTCATATACCAAGTTATAGAGTAAAAAAATTTATTCACCAACTAATTGAATTACAAAATTCAGCTCAGCTGTAATCACACAGGTCATTCTAATTGCACAATCTTAAATATAATTACATTGAAATTATTTTAAAATCAGAATCTATGGTGATTGACAGTAAGAATTTATTATGCCTGTAGGTATTAAATTGCAAAATATTTAAATATAACTAAAGTATATCTTTCTCTTACTCAGAGATAATTTTGTCTCAATATCTCAAATATCTCAAAGTACAAAGATGTTCCCAAAGTAACACTACTAGTTCACAGATAAACTTGAATCTAGAACCTGTATCTCCCTAAGACTGTTTCCATATGTTTGAAATCAAACTAAACATTTTTAAACTGCCTTCTACTCATGCTTTGGAAAATCCTAACTCTCAATTTATGTTTATACATTTTCACTCACTTATCTATCTTTGTATGCACACCTCTAACTAAACATCCATTTTTCCACTCAAAAGAAAAAAAAAACAACAAACATCTGAGCCGTTACCACGTATCAAACAATATGATACTTTCAAGGATACAGGTTTGAATAATATATATGGGTTCTCTCCTTCATATGAGGTCTCTCAAAAAACAAACAAACAAACAAGCAAATAAACAAACAAACCCAACATATCCAGCGAGAGCCCAGTTCTAATTTATTGCTTTTTACCCTGCTATACTCAAAGTCAGGCCACATAAATTACCAGTGATCTTATAGGTCAAAGAAGCTTACACTTAGCAGGTTCCCACTTCTTGCTGTTGCTACCTTAAAAACACTTTCTATCAGAGTTCCTGACTGTCAACTTGTATGTTATTAGGAGTAACTCTCCATTCTAGGTTTTCCAGGGTTAAATATCTTGGATACACTTTGCCTGTTGCTGATTTCCTATTCCCTTGCTTCACATATGTCGAACCCTCTTTCACCTGTGCTCCTCTCCCCCTAATTATTGTCTGAGTTTACAATGTGGTACATACCATTTCTGCCTTTGTCAAGTGTGTGCTAAACAACCATGACCTGGCTGAAAGGCTTAGGGAAGTTTCATAGTGTTTTCTCATCCAAGCAGCTAAGCTAAGCAATGCATTACCAGAGGTATTTTTCTTACAGACCTAATGTTTAATCTCAACCTTTCCTGTAATAATATAGCTCAAAGTGAAATTATGAAATGAAATTGCTTGGCTAATTTTCCTCTACAAGCTGTTAAGAATAAAGTCATTTTCAACTTAAAGGGAGTTGGCGTTATTCACATTGGTCAGATTAAATGGATAGTCAACGTTCCATGCCATTGCATGACAGAAGGAACAAGATATATCAAATACTGCATTTCAGATTTTTCAGAGCAAAGTTTTTACTGACTTTCAGATACTTTAATGCCAGTGACCTTTTCTAAATTCAATGGCTATGATTTTGGAATTAAGAGTAATAGGGTCCTGTACTTGAACCACAGGGTGACTTTAGACTGTACTTATTAATATTTGGGTTGATGCAAACGTAACTGCAGTGTCTGCCATTACTTTTAATGACAGACACCGCAATTACGTTTGCATCAACCTAATAACTCTGAGGCTCAGATTCTTCTTCAGATTCTGTAAAGCAGGAGTAATATTGTTTGCCTCATAAAAATTGTTTTGTAGGTTAAAGGTCCTCAAAGTGTAGTAACGTATCCAGCACTGTAAATATCACTTGGGAACTTGCTAGTAATGTATATTCTCAGACCACAACCTGGACCTACTGAATCAGTGGGGTGATCAGTGGGGTGGAGGCGAACAGCTTGGGTTTTAGCAAGTCCTCAACTTGATTCTGACTTATGCTAACATTTGAGAATTGCTAGACTAAAATATACAAAGCTTAGTAAAATGTGTCCCACATTATTTTTGTTGTTGTATTTGTCATCATCACTATCTGGTTAGACATTCTATGAGCAACCAAAATTTAGGTTTTCTTCTCTCCTTATGTTTTTCAGACCCTAGATGAATTGTTTTGGGGGTGGGAGTTACTTGGAAGAGAATTTTGGACCCTCAAATTCCCTGGATGCTTATGACAAAACTACTAATAAGAATAGGAAGCCCAAGGTTTCTTCTGAAATCAACTTTGCAATATATATTTAAGAAGTCATAAATTACCCAATTGTTTTATTTTAAAAAATTTTCTTAGCTGCTTCCTGCTATCTTACCATAAAAATACATATTTAATCAATGGAAAGCAGTTTTAATTCCAAAAGCGTATACATATTTTGTTAGTTTTTATTTCTACCTCAACATACCACTCCTTGTATAAAAACTATAAAATTGCATAAAGGAAATGATAATATTACACTCAAAAGAGGGATTAATGTCATTTTAAAATTTAGGTTAGTTATATTAAATATTAAATCCAAATGAGACACTTTAATTGCTTTACTTCAGACATTATATTTTTAGAAGAACTATTAAAATAATGTGCTACCTATATTTTAATATAAACATAAAATTTTCAGATATTTCAGTATGTGTTAACTGTAGATGTTAAAGTTTTAGCAAGAACCGAATTGCTTTCCTGGGACTTTGTTTTTACATATGCATGTAAACAAGAAGATATATCTTTTGTAATGATGTACTGATTGAATACCTTCACTATTGCTCTTGCTGGGTACCATGAGTTATTTATCTTAGAGCAACAGTACAATATTTGGTAACCTAGGGCAACAGACCAAATGAGGAATGCGAAATAATTTTTCTGCTGTTAAAAAGCTGCCTCTCTTACCTACATTGCCTGTTATAAGAGCCACCTAAATAGCAGATTCAAACAAACAAAAACAAAATGCAAACACAGTAGTCTTCAGGAGAACTCCAATTTTCCCTAGAATTATAACCTCCCATTCTCCACTTATAAGAAAGGGCCACAGGACACTTTTAAGAGTCCAAGAAAATGCTTAGAAATGCTTAATGATGGGAGAAAATACAAAGAAAACTCTATTCAGTCTAAGGGAAGAGAGGTACAAAAACAATTAAACTTGCATTTCTGTTTAGTTCTCTATGCCTGGGGCTAAGCAAAATTGATTAAAATGGGTAACCTGAAGAAGAATTTACTTCTGGCTGCATAACACATAGTATGAAATTTGTTTGAACTCTGAAAACTCTCTTCCTAATTATGAACTCTAAACAAAGCTATATCCCTTTCTTAAGAAAAATAACAATAAAAGATTATTCAGAAACAAAATATACAATTCATAAGTGTACAATCAGAATATTAGAAATAAAAATTTTAATTATAATTAAAGCTATTTATTGCTTTCTTATTGATGACCATGCTATGACCATGCTATACTATTTGGGCTATGATGAATTCAAAAGTACTAAGGTTTTTTAAAAAGATTCTCCTTAAAGGAAAAATAACCTTTATACAATAGTATTATTTATCCAAGTTTGCAGTTACTTAATTTTACCTATGTAATGGATTGCATTTAGAAGTAATACTATCAAGAGAAAATATGCTATTTATTTCTTCAAAAGTATTTTATTTTAAAATGGTCTCATATATTATTTAAATATCCATACCACTATGCTATGTAAACCAAAAGGTGACTGAGGCAGACAGATCTCAAGTGATTTAGAGGTTTATTTTATCAAGGTTGAGGATACGTTTGGGAAAAAAGAAACACAAGTCCCAGTAGGATCCATGTACTGTGTTTTTTCCAAAGGAGAATTTTGCAACTTCAATATTTAAAGGGAAAGCGCAAGTAGGAAGGGAAGAAAAAGGACGGAAATGTGAGAGAAGGTAGGCAATGAAGCAAGTGGTTACATTCTTATGTGTCTGTTATTGGTCGTCAGTGTATCTATAATTTAGATGTAAAAAGATTGAGTGGGGGTCAACTGCACATTCATGTTACACTCAGTAAATCTACATTTTATACAAGATAAGGTAAGTATGTGAATTACAGCTGTCAGGGGACAAACAGAAGGCAGCTTTTGCATGACTCAGTTGACAAGCTTAACTTTTCCCTTTGACATAGTGAGTTTGGGGTCCTGAGGTTTTATTTTCCTTTTACAACTAAATGCCAGATCTTTGCATACTTAGCTCAAAATGACTTCCACACACATACATTTTACAGAAGTGATAACAGCCTTACAGCCACAACTTTCATCTATTTCATGCCTAGTAAGTGATACAGATAAGATCCTACCTCATTTTTTTTCTAAAGCAGGAGGTGATTTCTTCGGCAAAATTAAGAAATATGACACATACAAAATCCCCACTGCTTCCTTCCACCACCAGAGAGGTTTGAAGTAGGCATTAATCCATATTAGTTTTTAAAATATCAATTCCCATCCCCAAGGTCATTCCCTTTCCATTTCCATTTAACGTTTATTTATTTGATTACAGAACTGTATTTTAGCGTCCGTTTTTCTCACGAACATCACAATTAGCATTCTCCTATATCTGCCCACAATTTATGAAGTGCTAATCTAGATTAAAGATGGTGATTATAATAGTGTATGGTTAATTTTTTGAAGGTTGCTTAAACCAAAGAGATTCACTTTCAAATGAATGTCTAAAACATCAAAATGTCCCACAGAGTAAAATTAACAATAAGGAAAATATAATTTCTCATACATATATTAAAAATATTGGAGAAATTATATATATAGAATATATATTATATATAAATATAAATATAATATATAATATAATGTATATATAATATAAACCACTTGCTGTTGATTGCTCAAGTCGCACCTTTCCACCAGCATCTCTGCGTTAATTATAGTATAATAAGTGAGTGATTTTCTGAGTAAAAGAGTATAATTGCCTTTTGTTGCTCAGAACAGAATACATCCACTTAAAATGCTAACTGTAGCCTCAAGATAGACCATCAGCATAAACCGCAGCTGTGCAACAGCACACACAAGGATGTGGATCTGTTTTCTTTTCCTTTATTATTTTAACTCTAGTAAGAAGAAGAATGCATTTCTTCTAGATGAGAAAGGAATAGCCGTATGGTTCATTGACTCAATGTAGCAGCAAAAAAAACACAAAGAAATGGAACAGAGGCCTAAATTCAAAATAAGTTCATACACACACACACACACCTCCCCCGCATCCCTAGCCTTGAAGAAAATATGAACTCGTTTAAATTTTTCTTAGTTTGTCTTGCTGCTTGTTCCACTTTACTGTCTCAGGAACATCCTGTGTTAGTATTTCTTTAGAGTATCCATTTCCAACTCCTATATCCACTCATTCTATCAGCAATAACACTTGAGTTTTCTCTGGAGTGGTAGAAGTAGGTATAAACCTGTTTGCATGGTCTATACACACTTTTAAAAAATGCATTAATGGCACACATTGTCTTTTGGTTCCCAAATGAATCACCATTGTTTTGGAATCAAAGTGATTTTTAAAAAATTAAATCAAGCACTTTGGGAGGCCAAGGTGGGTGGATCACCTAAGGTCCAGAGTTCAAGACCAGCCTGGCCAACATGGTGAAACCCCGTCTCTACTAAAAATACAAAAATTAGCTGGGTGTGGTGGCAGGTGCCTGTAATTCCAGCTACTAGGCAGGCTGAGGCAGGAGAATTGCTTGAACCCAGGAGGCAGAGGTTGCAGTGAGCTGAGATCGCACCATTGCACCCCAGCCTGGGGGAACACGAGCAAAACTCCATCTAAAAAAAAAGTTTAAAAATAAATAAATAAATAAAGCCCTATTTCTACATAACAAGCATGCCGTCCAATCTCCTTAACAAATACATTTAGTAAAAAGACAAAATCAATTATGTATTATTTAAAATCCCAAAAGGTCAATCAGCTTAATAGTGCATATATTTTCAGATGTGGCTTCTCAAAACTACCTTTGATTTTTGGAAAAATTAGTAAGTCAACATATATTGAAATAATGTTTGAAAATGGCCAACATTAGTGTACACCTGTGAAGTTAAAGCATTATGATTTGTAGTCTGATTATTAGTACACAGAATTTCTATTTCAGTTATGTTTCTATTCTTCTAATTTTTCGACACAATCAGCATTTCAACATTCATCTCATCAAGGTTCAATAGTGTCCAGGTCCCACTGCCCCGATGGCATTTAATAAGTGAAATTACTTCCTCCCTTCATGTGTAATAAATATTCTACTAACTTCAGAATTCATTTAGGAAGACGTCAACATGTGCTTCTGCCACTTACCTACTGTCTTTTCCTAAGTGAGTTATTTGTGAACCTCAGTTTCTTTTTCCACAAGATGGGATAATTCTCCCATTATCAAATTCACAGACTTATTTATCATCATGATCTAATGAAATGGTATGTTGAGTATATGTATAAACAGTGTCATACAAATGGCAAGATATACAGGCAAGATATGACACTTTAGAATGGTGATCCACTCTTGGGGATCTCTGAGGGAGTTTTCCTACTTGAGGTAAAAGTAGTAGATATAAACCTGTCTGTCTTGCCTATACCTGTTTTACTTATGAATGGTACACATTGTAGTCTGGTTCCAAAATGAATCACTATTGTTGTGGAGTCCAAGTGATTGCAGATGATTTCGGCCTCTGGTTAGAGATTCTATATGGCATAGACAGTGCCACAGCTTCTTGACTTCCGGGGCTCTTCCAGGGCAGAAATCACCATGGACCTGTTCTGTCATTGATGACTCTTTGTTTTCACATACCCAAGAACAACTGCCAGAGACCAATTTGATCTTTATAAATTACTGCTATAGAATGGTCAGTTGTGGGCATAAGAAGGATATCCCTATACATGCAGATTTATTTTCTTCATAGTAACAATAATAGATTTTTTTATTTTAAAGACTCTACAGAGTAATATACAGCTATTACTACTCAAAACAATCATGCAGTAGAGTTATTACTCTAGTTCACGTTGTATCAAATAGAACATTGACACGCAGAGTAATTTAATCACTTGCCTCAGATCACATGGCTGGCGAAGCTTAAGCTAAGTTTTAAACCTAATCACTCCAACTCCGGAGTAAAAGTGCTAACAAAACCGGCATGTTGCTTTGTATTTTGTAAGATACTGGATATAAAATAAGTCTGGTTCCACGTCACGTCTTTGAGAATTAGGAATACTTATTTGAATAAAAACACTTCTCCTAAAAACAAATAAACAAACAAAAAAACTCAGTTCATTTGCATGTCTCAATTATGTAGCCTCGATTTTTTTTCAGTTGGTAGTAGCGGCCCTTTAGTATTTTGCACTTATACGTGGTAGCGTTCATGTTACATTGCATTATAATAGCAATAGTAGCAAGATATTATTATATAAATATTAAATAATAGAAAAAATAAATGAGAAAGGGAGTCCGAAACCCTAACACTAAATAAGAACCCAGTGATTGCACAAATTAGCAGCAATTTTATCTGGATTTTGTGACTAAAAAATTATAGTAAAAAATAATTATTTCTAAATCAATTGCTTAGAAAAGCACACGAGTTATTTCTAAAGGTAAATCTCACATTATTAATTTTACATTTAAATGTTTTTTCTATTTCAATCATATATATTTTAATTATATATTAAATATATTTAATAATATATATATTTTAATAATATATAAATTTTAGTAGATGCTCAAAGGTATTTGTTTATTTTGTTCTGTAGATACAGATTGCAGTAGTGCCTAGAATGAAGCATGTATCTGAAATACTTCAGCTTGGTAGAAGATTATATCATTGTATGTTTCATCTTACACATCACTCAATACTTGAATATAAGCATTACATAAGATCGTATGCAGTTTCTCCTTTTGAATTTGCTTTTCTTAATGTTTTCATCAAAAGTTTCATGAGCTTGGAAGATGATAAAACTATTTCCTCTGTAGAAATGAGTTTAAAAATAAGATTGTGTCGTATATGTATGTGATAATATAAAAAAACAAATAAATGAAAGGAAGCATCCTGTTTCAAAAAGCCTAGAGGATTCTGGTTGCCTGCCAGTTCAGTTGGAGTCCTCTTGAATGACAGAGTCCTCCAAATCAATAATGTAATCACAGACAGCTCTAGTAGAAGTATATCCTTCTAAACAAGTGAGGGTCAGATCCTTATCAACTGATCGGATTATGGCTGAAGGGGACTTCCTTTTCTGGCTCCTGTACTTTGAAGGCAATAAATAAAATGAGAAAGTACAACCAAGATGGTTTATGACCTGCATACCCTGAAACAGCTAGAATTTTGAAGAAACTGAAAAGGTTCAGTTTGAAGAAGAGAATACTTGTCAGTGTATTTGTACACTTAAGGTGTCCTCAAATACTGGAAGGCATTTTCTGTGTGTGTAGACAGCAGAAATTGACTAATGCAGAGAAATTATAGGGAAAAACTACGTGACCTCAAATATGGAAGGACTCTTGAGTCTCAATTTCCATGTAAGCAACATGCTAGGTGTTATACATTTGTTATCCCATTTAGTGTTTCAACAATCCCATGAGATATTACTGTGTTTCCTTTACAGAACAGAAAAAGTGTGGCTCACAGAAGGTAGGCAACTTTTTATAAGGACACACAGCATTTACATGTTAGAGCTGGATCTCTATTTCTTAGGCTATACTGTTTTTGCTTGTTTTTCATTGTACCAGGCTACCTCCTCATGGACTTTTTCCCTCTGAGGAATTTTATACCAGGTTTTTTTTTTTTCTTAAATCTATAGTAAACATTCAAAGTATTTTAGATTGTTCAAAATAATTGAGATTGTTTGGAATAATCCTCTAGGCATATATTTTTATATGAATATTTAGGGATTGGAAGACAGAAAAGCCACCCTTTTATTTATTCACGATATATCATGATTCCATCCTTTGGAAAAGATGAATTAAGAGATTGACTGAAGTGCATTATTCACTCTTTGCCTCTATGGAAAATACTTTGTCTCTTAGGATTTTGTGTTAAAAAGCTTCAATAAGTGAAATAATTATTCATATCTATTTACTGAATATAATAAACTGGTTCTTATTTCTCATGTGTTTTTTAAGTACACAGCTTACCAATATAATGTGCTTTCTTTTCATATGTTTTTAGTCTACAATAGACTGAACTCATTGTTTTGCCCCCTTATTAAGAATCTGACAGCCTAATGTATAATATCAGTGTACTTGCTTTCAATGAGATATATAGACTTGCCTTTTTTTTTTTTTTTTTTTTTTTTTGTTGAGATGGAGCCTTGCTCTGGCTGGAGTGCAGTGGCACAATCTTGGCTCACTGCAACCTCCACCTCCCGGGTTCAAGCAATTCTCCTGCCTCACCTTCTGGGGTAGCTGGGACTACAGGTGCATGCCACCACGCCCAGCTAATTTTTGTATTTTTAGTAGAGACGGGGTTTCACCATGTTGGCCAGGATGGTCTCGATCTCTTGACCTAGTGATCTGCCCACCTCATCCTCCCAAAGTGCAGGGATTACAAGCATGAGCCATCGTGCCCAGCTGGCTTGCATAATTTTTTATTTATTTGAAATATTTCTATATTTATTACAGCTGTTTTGTTTCTTAAAAACCCTGGGTTATTCATGTACATTTGTATAGGAAGCAAAAGGAGGATAGGAGCAGTGTTTTAGCAGTAGTAGAGCTGCTTAAAATAATATAGCTAAACTTGAGGATTTGAGCCATCCGTGGGTAAGCATATTGAGCTTTCATAGTGTGGCTATTGATTAATTGATCATGTTAGTTTATTGGCTTGTTATGTTATAGAATGGTGGCGAGCTTTGCATAATCATCTAGTCTATGCTCTTGAACTTTCTGAATCTCATTCTTACTTCTATAATCTACAGAGATCCTAGAACGATGATGTGAAAGAAAAATTGCCCTGGACATCTGAACAAAAATGTGGTGGGGTGGAGGCAGGACTCCACTCAAATAAAAGGCATGAATGTTTAACCAGTAGGATGAGTGAGTAGAAAAATAACGGAACACATTAGGAAGGAGGTTGGACAATGTGATTAGGCCATCTGTGTTTGCTAATTGGCACTTGTGGGAGCTAGGTTTCTATCCTCAGAAAATTACCTCTAGGAGCACTATTTTTCTTGATTAATACATGTCAAAAGGAAGGATCTTGGGTCCTGGAGAAACACATTCCCGGTATAAAACTAACAAAAGGCTTTATATCTCAAAGGGATAAAGTAAGTCTACAATGGAAAGTTTTCTAAAGTCAGTGCTCTAAGAAAACAGAACTTAGGGGCCTATAGTCAGGAATAAATCTAACATTTAGTCAAGCTGAGGGGGACATAAGGCTGTCTTCATCAACAGTCTAACAATTCACTTACTTTTTTAAGGATCTACCTACCACATTTCCAAAAAATGCATGTAAAACACTGGACATTGTATTTTATATAGTGACTAAATAAGGTGATGCATTCCTGCATAGCTTTGATTTCTATTTTGGAAGATAACAAATTAGACACATAAAGGTTATTCAATAGCTATTATAAATCTGACCAAAAATGCATTAATTTTTATTCAAAATTTGATGAAAAATAAACTGATTCAATAAAAATAAATATGTATGTATATATTTTAAATCCAGTTAGAAAAATATATATATATATAGTGTTTGCTCTGTTTTTTTTTTTTTGAGAGGGAGTCTTGCTCTGTTGCCCGGGGTGGAGTGCAGTGGTGTGGTCTCGGCTCGCTGCAAGCTCCGCCTCCCGGGTTCACGCCATTCTGCTGCCTCAGCCTCCCGAGTAGCTGGGACTACAAACGCCTGCCACCACGCCCGGCTAATTTTTTTTTTTTTTAGTTGAGACGGGGTTTCACTGTGTTAGCCAGGATGGTCTCGATCTCCTGACCTCGTGATCCACCCGCCTTGGCCTCCCAAAGCGCTGGGGATCACAGGCGTGAGCCACCGCGCCCGGCATGTTCTGCTCTTAAAATGCAGAGCTGAGGCCGGGCACGGTGGCTCCCGCCTGTAATCCTAGCGCTTTGGGAAGCCAAGGCAGGCAGATCACAAGGTCAGCAGATTGGGACCCTCCTGGGTAACCCGGTGAAACCCCGTCCCTTCTAAAAATACAAAAAATTACCCGGGCGTGGTGGCAGGCGCCTGTAGTCCCAGCTATTCAGAAGGCTGAGGTAGGAGAATGGCGTGAACCCAGGAAGCAGAGCTTGCAGTGAGCCGAGATCGCACCACTGCACTCCAGCCTGGGAGACAGCAAGACTCCGTCTCAAAAAAAAAAAAAAAAAATGCAGAGCTGATGGAGAATCAACACTGTGTGGTGTAATCACACTTTTGTGCTAGTTAATCCTCATTCTGATCTTTTATGTCGTCTTAAGAAGATGCTTCTCAAGTCATCAGGGCACACTGTGGCAAAAATTACATCGAATATGCCATGAAAGATACATGCAATAAAGCCATGGATTTCAGATTTTCTGACTCTCAGATTAGCTAAGTCATCCTTTTTCTTTTTGTGTTAATGCATAATAAGATACTTAGAAGTGTTGAATATATACATAATAATTATTTTATATATATATATATATATATATATATATATATATATATATATATAATCTTAACCTGTCTAAACCAGAGCAAGTAACAGCTGTTTATGAAAATTTTACTGGGAAAAACAAATAAAAAGTGCTATTTTCATCTCAGAATACTTAAAGTCAAGGTTCTTTACTTGTGATTAAATTTACAAGTGATTAAATGCTCTCTCAAATCAATGGAATCAACTATAATACATTAAGTTTAGGACTACTATACATTGCAGCTAAACTTTGATTCACAGTAAATACTGAGGAGATATATATATATATATATATATATATATATATATATAGTAATTGTCTTAAACACAAGTTTCCTAGAAAAATAATTTTGTCTGCATACCTTATTAAATATCTCTTACTTATTAAAATAGGTAAAGTATCCTTACTCATGATTTTTTGATGTCCAATAGTTGAAACTGCCCTATAGTTTCCTGATTACAGAACAAAATAGTCAATTCCTTGATTAAGTTAAAAACCCATAAGGATACGGAAAGAGTATATTCTTGTCGAACTAGGAAAGTAAATTCATGGATATAACTTTCATATATAGGAAATGAAGAAATTAGTTTGAGGATCTCATTTGTTCAGAAATTGACTTATAGAATTACATCATCTCTATATATGTTTAATTTCAATTCTAAGGAATCTGGACCCTGGTAAATAACCCGTATGTAATTTTTCAGGCACGACCATAGGTATTTACAAAAGCTTTACTTGGCAGGCTTCAGGGGTTCTCAGGGGTTCAGCTGCTCTCCCCAGATCAGACTTGGCGCACATTCAATGCACTGCAGTGTCTGAAGGGAGTTGTAGTCAAGGACTCAGGGTCCCCTGACCCATCACATCCTCCTCTATTTGCATTCCCAGCCCCAGTGTCTTTATTCTTAGACCTCTTTATTTGAAACCTTCATCAAGGTCTTCTTTAGGCATCTCTGTCAAGACATCCTTACCAGGAAGGCAGTGCAAAGGAGGAAATCATGAAGATATTTCTCTCCATTCTGACTCAGCACCCAGTGTTTATTAACTCATAGCCCTTTCCCCTTTGCTCAGGAGCCATAAAACTGGCAGAGACTTTTTTTCAGGGCTCCCTGAATAGAGACCTCTATGTCTAAGTTGATTCACCCGATCTTAGACTAGTGCTCCATTCTGTGGGAAAAATGGAAAAGGGAGGGTGGGCACTTACTCTGGCTTTAGCCTTTGTTTTTACCATTGTAGTAAGCAATTAAAGGCTTAAAGAGTGTTACTCTCATTTTGTCTCTTTGTTGTTTTAATCAGCTTCTCTGATACCTGATTTATAGCTCAGCTGAGCTCCTGATGATACATTCTTTATTCAAAAAGAAAAATATATATGTGTGTGTGCATGTGTGTATGTAGAATTATGCTAGTCCTAAGGGATTCAATTTTGAACATTATATTAATAGTAAAAGTTTCTGACTCATTACTTTCTTCTCTCTCTCTCTCTCTCTCCCTATATATATATATATATTTTTTTTTTTTCTTTTTTTTCTTTTTTGAGACGGAGTCTTGCTCTGTCGCCCTGGCTGGAGTGCAGTGGCGCGATCTCGGCTCACTGCAAGTTCCGCCTCCCAGGTTCAAGCCATTCTCCTGCCTCAGCCTCCTGAGTAGCTGGGACTACAGGTGCCTGCCACCACACTCGGCTATTTTTTTTTTTTTTTTTTGTATTTTTAGTAGAGACAGGGTTTCACTGTGTTAGCCAGGATGCTCTCGATCTCCTGACCTCGTGATCTGCCCACCTCGGCCTCCCAAAGTGCTGGGATTACAGGCGGGAGCCACCACGCCTGGCCTATATTTTTAATTGGCAAGCCAAATGTGATAACTGTAAACTTTTAGGAATTAGATGATACTTCTTTATGTGTATTCGTATTTGTGCATATGTGTATGGTAATCATATGAGCTTGAATATAGCTTAATTTCTGAATTTACATTAAAAGCTTTGGGATATTCAGGGATATTATTCGAAAATAGGAATGTGTCCTAGAGAATTTTATGGGAGCAGACATAAATCCTTTGACATCTGAATTTCAAACAAGCTACAAGTCAATAATTGGCTTCATGCAAAGCTCCTAAGAAGACAATTTGAGAAATATGAACAAGGACATTTTTGTAATTTCACATCCTGATGCAGTGCAAAAAATAAGAACAAGAGGGGTGAGAATCTGCTCTATTTCAGGATGTGATGATTTATGGTTACTTATAAAATGAAAAAATGGGATTGCTTCAATCAAGATTTGGAAAGAGAATTTGGGAGTATGTATTTATTTCCTACTGCCACAAATTTAGAGGCTTAAAACAACACACATTTATTGTCTTACAGCTCTAGAGATCTAAAATGTGACAGCATTCTTTCTAGGAGGTTCTATGGCAGAATCTGTTTTCTTCCCCTTTCCAGCTTCCAGAGGCCACCTGCATTCCTTGACTCATGGCCCCACATCACTCCACTCTCCGTTCCCATTGTCACAGTCCTCTTTTGATCCCAATTCTCCTTCCTCACTCTAATAAAGACCTTGGTAATTAAACTGGGCCTACTCAGACAATTTAGGGTAATCTCCCTATCTTGGCTTCATCAAATCAGCAAAGTAACTTTTGCCATATAAAGTCATATATTCACAGATTTCAGGGATTTGGATGTAAACATCTTTAGAGGGTCCATTGTCCTACCCACCACATGTAGGAAAAGAATTCATGAGACTGGGAAATAAAACAATTTGCAGGCCTGACTAAAGAAGCTCGGGCTTAGATGGTACAGCTCCTTAGCCAACCTATGCCATCCATGTATAACTGACCTGAATGGGGTGGAAAATCAAAAAATTTGTAAACAAGATGATGATAGTGGTAAGTAATAATAATAGTATTTATATGCATGAGTTTCTCACTAGGTACCAGGATCTTTAGTGAAAGCATGGTGTACATATTGTTCTCAATCCTCATAACAGTACTCCAAGCTAAGTGTTTTATGCCTTTAGTTTTAATTGAGCAGCCTGAGCCTTAGAGGGGTAACTTGTTTTGCCTGAGGGTAAAAACAGGAAAAAGAATTTGAACACAAGGGCTATACTGCTTACCTGTGTCCTTACTCACAGTTTCAAAAAATATTCCATTAAAAATGACTACCTGTATGGCTTCTGTATTTATCTCCATCCACAGTCACTCTGATGCACATGCCCACCTCTAGCATAAATTGGACTTTTAAGTATGTTAAAAAGTCCTCTTCTCTGGAGGGATGCTGTAGTACGTGACATCCCTTCCTCTGGATAGAGGCAGCTCTGGGCCCTGGTGAAGGCCTCAGTGCTAGGGGCACAGGCTGGATTTCAGACGCCACTGGCCCTTCTGTTGGAATTCACCTGGCCTCAGATATGTGTGTCCAACTGTGTATTCGCTTGAGAGTCCCACAGGCCTCCTATATTCACCATACCACAAGCCAGAAATAGCAATTTTCCCCATCAAACATGCTCATCCTCATCAAACCACGCCCAACAAGTGGCAACTTGGGTTATGAAACCAGAAATTTGACACTCATCCTATTTTTTTCCTCTAACTCTCAATACCTCCTATGAAGCCACTAACAAAATTCAAAAATTCCACTTCCTTAATATGAAGCACAGCTGCCCAACTTTTCATTCCCATGATCTACATATCTTAGTATTTATTGATTACAATTCCTCAGTGACCTAAATGAATGTCTTCTCTCCAAACTGATACCTCTAATTTATGCCTCATATGGTGGCCAGGATGGGTTTTCTGATATACCAGTTTGAGACAAGCCATGCTTTTCAAATTAGGTTCAAAGATATTTTTAAGGCTGGGTTTTAACTGGCTGTTTTTCTAGACTCATATATTCTCATTCACTTACAACTCTAGGTGAACCTAAATACTTGCTGATTTTGAAAGGCTTTATGCTTTTTCATGAGTCTGTGCATTGGTATATATTGTTACATGTGCTGGAATGCACTTTCACTAGCACACAACTGTTTCATTTCTATTTATTCTTCAAATCCCCACATAATCATCCGAGATGGATTTCTTGATTCTTGATTTTTTTGTTGCTGCTTATTTTCTGTTTTTTCTTTCATAAAGAAAGAAAATTAAATTGGCATGCTTTATAATAATAAATCTCATTATGTGATGATGAAAGGTCCCTTTATTCTGTTGGTTATAGTTCTTATGTCACTCTCTTGCAAATTCTGGTTAATGTTTCTGTCTCTGTCATTAGAATTGTTAACTTACAGAAAACACTTATCAAATATATGAGATTTTAAGAAATGAGAAAAAAAGGAAAAGAACTGGTATTTATATAGTGGTGTATACCTTACAAATGTTTTTACTTTGCAAAAATATACCTTGGCATATAGATTCAAGCAAAGCACCATTACAATTGTGAAAAGGGCAGTGAGATTAGAAAGTCTCAAAGAAGGTGACAGACATGGGTTTGAACCTTTAAAGACCAATATAATTTTTATTCATAAGTAGTGATGTTTCAAGCAGAGAATACAACATAAGCAAAGGCACTGAGTTTGGAATGCAAAGAGTGTATTTAGAAAATACAAAAATTCAATTTGAACTCATTAGTGGCATAAATAGGGATGATTTGGGAGCTCATAAGGGAAAATTAAGTAGGTTGATGTTATGGTATGAAATGCTATTAATGCCAAATGTGCAAATCTGTATTTAATTTAGAAAACAATAGGTGCCATCAAAAACATGTATTCCTTTTAAGACTTTTTTTTATCCACTGAGAAATGTTTAAAACTTTGCTTTAGCCTGATTATTAAAAGGTCCCTTTCATCATCACATAATGAGATTTATTATCATACAGAATGCTAATTTTATTTGAGGAGAGTTAAGAATATTATGGAATATTTGTGGATTCACTTGTCATCTTAGTAATAAACTCAAAGAAGAAAAAATATCTTCTTTATCTTTGTATTTCTCTTTTTTTATTATACTTTAAGTCCTAGGGTACATGTGTACAACGTGCAGGTTTGATACATAGGTATATATGTGCAATGTTGGTTTGCTGCACCCATCAACTCCTCATTTACATTAGGTATTTCTCCTAATGCTATCCCTCCTCCGGCCTCCCAACCCTGGCAGGCCCCATGTGTGATGTTCCCCACGCTGTGTCCACGTGTTCTCTGTTCAACTGCCACCTATGAGTGAGAACATGCAGTGTTTGGTTTTCTGTCCTTGTGGTAGTTTGCTCAGAATGATGGTTTCCAGCTTCATCCATGTCCCCGCAAAGGACATGAACTCATCCTTGTTTTATGGCTGCATAGTATTCCATGGTGTATATGTGCCACATTTTCTTAATCTGGTCTATCATTGATGGACATTTGGATTGGTTCCAAGTCTTTGCTATTGTGAATAGTGCCACAGTAAACTTACGTGTGCATGTGTCTTTATAGTAGCACAATTTATAATCTTTTCCGTATATACCCAGTAATGGGATGGCTGGGTCAAATGGTATTTCTAGTTCTAAATCCTTGAGGAATCACCACACCGTCTTCCATGATGGTTGAACTAATTTACACTCCAACCAACAGTGTAAATGCGTTCCTATTTCTCCACATCCTCTTCAGCGTCTGTTGTTTCCTGACTTTTTAATGATCACCATTCTAACTGGCATGAGATGGTATCTCATTGTGGTTTTGATTTGCGTTTCTCTGATGACCACTGATGATGAGCATTTATTCATGTGTCTGTTGGCTGCATAAATGTCTTCCTTTGAGAAGTGTCTGTTCATATCATTTGCCCACTTTTTAATGGTTTTTTTCTTGTAAATTTGCTTAAGTTCTTTGTAGATTCTGGATATTAGCCCTTTGTCAGATAGGTAGATTGAAACATTTTCTCCCATTCTGTAGGTTGCCTGTTCACTCTGATGATAGTTTCTTTTGCTGTGCAGAAGCTCTTTAGTTTAATTAGATCCCATTTGTCAATTTTGGCTTTTGTTGCCATTGCTTTTGGTATTTTAGTCATGAAGTCTTTATCGATGCCTATGTCCTGAATGGTATTACCTAGGTATTTTTCTAGGGTTTTTATGGTTTTAGGTCTAGTTTTTAATCCATCTTGAATTAATTTTTGTATAAGGTGTAAGGAAGGGATCCAGTTTCACTTTCTACATATGGCTAGCCACTTTTCCCAGCACCATTTATTAAACAGGGAATCCTTTCCCCATTTCTTGTTTTTGTCAGGTTTGTCAAAGATCAGATGGTTGTAGATGTGTGGTGTTATTTCTCAGGCCTCTGTTCTTTTCCATTCGTCTATATGTCTTGTTTTGGTACCAGTACCATGCTGTTTTGGTTACTGTAGCCTTGTGATGTAGTTTGAAGTCAGGTAGCATGATGCCTCCAGCTTTGTTCTTTTGCTTAGGATTGTCTTGGTTATGCAGGCTCTTTTTTGGTTCCATATGAAGTTTAAAGTAGTTTTTTCCAATTCTGTGAAGAAAGTCATTGGTAGCTTGATAGGGATAGCATTGAATCTATAAATTACCTTGGGCAGTATGGCCATCTTCACAATATTGATTCTTCCTATCCATAAGCATGGAGTGATCTTTTATTTGTTTGTGTCCTCTTTTATTTTGTTGAGCAGTGGTTTGTAGTTCTCCTTGAAGGGGTCCTTCACATCCCTTGCAAGTTGGATTCCTAGGTATTTAATTCTCTTTGAAGCGATTGTGAATGGGAGTTCACTCATGATTTGACTGTTTGTTATTGGTGTATAAGAATGCTTGTGATTTTTGAACATTGATTTTGTATCCTGAGATTTTGCTGAAGTTGCTTATCAGCTTAAGGAGATTTTGGGCTGAGACAGTGGCGTTTTCTAAATATACAATCATGTCATCTGCAAACAGGGACAATTTGACTTCCTGTTTTCCTAACTGAATACACTTTATTTCTTTCTCTTGCCTGATTTTCCTGGCCAGAACTTCCAACACTATGTTGAATAGGAGTGGTGAGAGAGGGCATCCTTGTCTTATGCGGGTTTTCAAAGGGAATGCTTCCAGTTTTTGCCCATTCTGTATGATATTGGCTGTGGGTTTGTCATAAATAGCTCTTACTATTTTGAGATACATCCCATCAATACCTAGTTTATTGAGAGTTTTTAGCAAGAAGGGCTGTTGAATTTTGTCAAAGGCCTTTTCTTCATCTATTGAGATAATCATGTGGTTTTTGTCATTGGTTCTGTTTATGTGATGGATTACGTTTATTGATTTGCATATGTTGAACCAGCCTTGCATCCCAAGGATGAAGTCAACTTGATTGTGGTGGATAAGCTTTTTGATGTGCTGCTAGATTCGGTTTGACTGTATTTTATTGAGGATCTTCGCATTGATGTGCATCAGGGATATTGGTCTAAAATTCTTTTTTATTGTTGTGTCTCTGCCAGGCTTTGGTATCAGAATGCTGCTGGTCTCAAAAAATGAGTTAGGGAGGACTCTCTCTTTTTCTATTGATTGGAATAGTTTCAGAAGGAATGGTACCAACTCCTCTTTGTACTTCTGGTAGAATTCGGCTGTGAATCTGTCTGGTCCTGGACTTTTTCTGGTTGGTAGGCTATTAATTATTGCCTCAATTTCAGAGCCTGTTATTGGTCTATTCAGGGATTCAACTTCTTCCTGGTTTAGTCTTGGGAGGGTGTATTTGTCCAGGAATTTATCCATCTCTTCTACATTTTCTAGTTTATTTGCATAGAGGTGTTTATAGTATTCTCTGATGGTAGTTTGTATTTCTGTGGGATCAGTGGTGATACCCCTTTATCATTTTTTATTGCGTTTATTTGATTCTTCTCTCTTTTCTTATTAGTCTTCCTAGTGGTCTATCAATTTTGTTGATCTTTTCAAAAAAACAGCTACTGAATTCATTGATTTATTGAAGGGTTTTTTGTGTCTCTATCTCCTTCAGTTGTGCTCTGATCTGAGTTAGTTCTTGCCTTCTGCTAGCTTTTGAATTTGTTTGTTTTTGCTTCTCTAGTTCTTTTAATTGTGATGTTACAGTGTTGATTTTAGATTTTTCCTGCTTTCTCTTATGGACATTTAGTGCTAAAAACTTCCCTCACACACTGCTTTAAATGTGTCCCAGAGATTCTGGTACATTGTGTCTGGTTTTCATTGGTTTCAAAGAACATCTTTACATCTGCCTTCATTTTGTTATTTACCCAGTAGTCATTCAGGAGCAGGTTGTTCAGTTTCCATGCAGTTGTGCCATTTTGAGTGAGTTTCTTAATCCTGAGTTCTAGTTTGATTGCACTGTGGTCTGAGAGACAATTTGATGTGATTTCTGTTCTTTTACATTTGCTGAGGAGTGTTTTACTTCCAATTATCTGGTCAATTTTAGAATAAGTATGATGTGGTGCTGAGAAGAATGTATATTCTTTTGATTTGGGGTGGAGAGTTCTGTAGATGTCTATTAGGTCTGCATGGTGCAGAGCTGAGTTCAAGTCCTGGATATCCTTGTTAACCCTTTGTCTCGTTGATCTGTCTAATATTGACAGTGGGTGTTAAAGTCTCCTATTATTATCGTGTGGGAGTCTAAGTCTCTTTGTAGGTCTCTAAGTACTTGTTTTATGAATCTGGGTGCTCCTGTATTGGGTATATATATTTAGGATAGTTAGCTCTCCTTGTTGAATTGATCCCCTTACCATTATGTAATGACCTTCTTTGTTTCTTTCTATCTTTTTTGGGTTAAAGTCTGTTTTATCAGAGACTATGATTGCAACCCCTGCTTTTTTTTAGCTTTCCATTTGCCTGTTAGATCTTCCTGCATCCCTTTATTTTGAGCCTATGTGTGTCTCGGCACATGAGATTGGTCTCCTGAATACAGCAAACTGATGGATCTTGACTCTTTATCCAATTTGCCAGTCTGTGTCTTTTAATTGGGGCATTTAGCCCATTTACATTTATGGTTAATGTTGTTATGTATGATTTTGATCCTGTCATTATGATGCTAGCTGGTTATTTTGCCCATTAATGGATGGAGTTTCTTCATAGCATCGATGGTCTTTACAATTTGGCATGTTTTTACAGTGGCTGGTTGTTCCTTTCCATGTTTAGTGCTTCCTTCAGGAGCTCTTGTAAGGCAGGCCTGGTGGTGATAAAATCTCTCAGCATTTGCTTGTCTGAAAAGGATTTTATTTCTCCTTCACTTATGAAGCTTAGTTTGGCTGAATATGAAATTCTGGGTTGAAAATTCTTTTCTTTAATAATGTTGAATATTGGCCTCCACTCTCTTCTGGCTTTTAGGATTTCTGCTGAGAGATCCACTGCTCATCTGATGGGCTTCCCTTTGTGGGTTACCCGACCTTTGTCTCTGGCCACCCTTAACATTTTTTCCTTCATTTCAACCTTGGTGAATCTGACAATTATGTGTCTTGAAGTTGCTCTTCTTGAGGAGTATCTTTGTGGTGTTCTCTATATTTCCTGAATTTGAATGTTGGCCACCTTGCTAGGTTGGGGAAGTTCTCCTGGATAATATCCTGCAGAGTGTTTTCCAGCTTGGTTCCATTCTCTCCATCACTTTCGGGTATACCAATCAAACGTAGATTTTGCCTTTACACATAGTCCCATATTTCTTGGAGGCTTTGTTCATTTCTTTTCACTCTTTCTTCTCTAATCTTGTCTTCTCACTTTATTTCATTAATTTGATCTTCAATCGCTGATACCCTTTCTTTCACTTGATCGAATCAGCTATTGAAGCTTGTGAATGGGAGTTCACTCATGATTTGATCATGAAGTTCTCCTGCTGTGGTTTTCAGCTCCATCAGGTTATTTAAGGTCTTCTCTACACTGTTTATTCTTGTTAGCCATTCATCTTACCTTTTTTCAAGGTTTTTAGCTTCCTTGCAATGCATTAGAACATGCTTCTTTAGCTCAGAGAAGTTTGTTATTACTGACCTTCTGAAGCCTAGTTCTGTCAACTTGTCAAACTCATTCTTTGTTCAGTTTTGTTCCATTGCTGGTGAGGAGCTGGGATCCTTTGAAGGAGAAAAGGCACTCTGGTTTTTGGAAGTTTCAGCTTTTTTGCTCTGGTTTCTCCCCATCTTTGTAGTTTTATCTACCTTTGGTCTTTGATGTTGGTGACCTACAGATGGGGTTTTGGAATGGATGTTCTTTTTGTTGTTGTTGATGCTATTCCTTGCTGTTTGTTAGTTTTCCCTCTAACAGTCAGGCCTCTCAGCTGCAGATCTTTTGGAGTTTGTTGGAGGTCCACTCCAGACACTGTTTGCCTGGGTATCACCAGCAGAGGCTGCAGAACAGCAAATATTGCTGCCTGATCCTTTCTCTGGAAGCTTCATCCCAGAGGGGCACCCACCTGTATGAGGTGTTTGTCAGCACCTAATGGGAGTTGTCTCCCAGTCAGGCTACACGGCGGTCAGGGACCCACTTGAGGAGGCAGTCTATCTGTTCTCAGAGCTCAAACACCATACTGGGAGAACTCCTGCTCTCTTCAGAGCTGTCAGACAGGGATGTTTAAGTCGCAGAAGTTGTCTGCTGCCTTTTGTTCAGCTATGCCCTGCCCACAGAGGTGAAGTCTACAGAGGCAGTAGGCCTTGCTGAGCTGTGGTGGGCTCCGTGCAGTTTGAGCTTCCTGGCCACTTTGTTTACCTACTCAAGCTTCAGCAATGGCGGATGCCCTTCCCTCTGCCAGGCTGCAGCCTTGCAGGTTGATCTCAGACTGCTGCACCAGCAGTGAGCAAGGCTCTGTGGGCATGGGACCCAGGCATGGGAGGGAATCACCTGGTCTGCCTTTGCTAAGACTGTGGGAAAAGTGCAGTATTTGGGCTGCAGTGTATGTTCCTCCAGGTACAGTCTGTCACGGCTTCCCTTGGCTAGGAAAGGGAAATCCCCCAGCCTCTTGCACTTCCCGGGTGAGGCAATGCCCTGCCCTGCTTCAGCTCACCCTCCGTGTGCTGCACCCAGTGTCCAACCAGTCCCAATGAGATGAACCAGGTACCTCAGTTGGAAATGCAGAAATCACCCATCTTCTGCATCAATCTCACTGGGAGCTGCAGACCAGAGCTGTTCTTATTCAGCCATAATGGAAGCAACTCTATCTTTGCATTTCTCAAAAGACCTTGCACATTTTTTTCTTTATGAAACACAATAAATATTTACTAGTTAGTTATAAGTCATAATTTGATAGTTACCAGAACTTTAGCATTCAATGAAAGTCATTTCATTTAGAAACAAAACAAAGTCTACTCTACTTCTTTTATTTTCCAGCACACTTTAAGATATTATAGGCCTCTGGGAGATCATTATAAAAAAATACATTCTTACTGCCTAGTTTATAAGAAAAAAAAAAGTCAGTTTATATAAGATTTGTTGCTTCAGATTTTGAATAATTGGTATTCCATACATTTAAGATATGCTATATGCTTATAAAGTATACTAGACTGGACCATTCCATGGTCTTTATTGAATGTAAGAGTTTGCATTCAGTTTAAAAAATAGTTTATGTATTTTCATATCCTGCACTCTGTTATCCTGATAGGCAGTTGTTTTACTTGTTCCACTTGTGTAGAATTGTTTGATTTAACTGTTAACAGGATGAAATGATAGAAAGTTGATGCTTCAACACAGGCAGAAAGCTGGGAGTTCTGTTTTATAGGTAGTATAGAAATTGCTGCAATTTCCAACCTTCTGCTTTATTAACTGTGTTATACACAGCATAATATAAGAGTGGAGAAGCTGACAGAGTTAACAAATGACAAGGTCAATTTTGATTTCTTTGTACTTTAGGATTAAACTCATATAGCATTTCCAAATAGTTCTCTACTGGAGGACGTTAGAATCCTCCAAGTATCAAGCATTACTTTATTATTATTACTAATATCAAAGAATTATCATTACTAAAATTATCAACCAATCAACAGAAAAATGAAAATTTATTGAGCAACATGTATGTGCAGAGCACTTTCAAGGCAAATAGGTTGAGATAAATTTTTGGAGATATAGAAGAGTGAGACACAACTTTGTTAGAGCTTATGATTCTTATTGATGAGCTGCTAAGATCAGTCAGTACCTAAGATCAAGAAGGACATTTTTATATCTATGGGCAGTTTTCTTAATTAAAATTTGCTTTTGCTTGAAGTCACGGCACAGAAAATTAAGAGAGTGTGGCTCATTTTATAGGAGATAAAATATAGTAAAGAAGGACAGGTTAACTGTTAGTTTGTAAGTACCATTAGTTTCTATGTATCTGCAAGTGTAGTTGCCAGTACTGCCGATGGATAGTG
Organism: Homo sapiens; assembly: GCF_000001405.40. Lineage (NCBI taxonomy): Eukaryota > Metazoa > Chordata > Mammalia > Primates > Hominidae > Homo > Homo sapiens. Next base: position 53,368,925 of record NC_000010.11, on the reverse strand, counting down.
TGTATTACATTCACAAAGAATATACACAGCAGGTAATTTGCGCATATTCCAGAAAGAGCCCGAGGAAATATGAAGGACATGTATGATATTCTGTACTCACAGTGTCTGTTTGTTAATAGAACTCAGATGTTTGATCTAAAATGGACCTTCAGGTCCAAAACTATATTTTACAGATGTAAAACCAAAGTCCCCAGTTGGTAAAGAGAGGTGTGTATAATGAGGGGGATGGAGAACAATATGTCACACATTGAGCCTGGCCTGGATTCCAGATCTTCTAACTTCCTAACTTCTTTTTCTGCATTTCTTCTATTATATCACACTTCCTCTCAGGCCTGAAATTATAGAAAGCATCACGAACCTAAGGTAGTTTTGTCTTGCTTGCAAGTAAAACACACACACTTACACACACACACACACAAACACACACACACAAATATCTTGGCTAATTTTGCAAAACAGCACTGAAACTGGAACAAATTAACACTTCAAGAAAAAAGCACAGTCTAAATGTACATTGTTAGATATCAAAAAATTTTATCGCTCACAGAGGGAAGATATCAGCATTTGAAATAGCCAGTCATTACCCTCAGAGATAAATTTTAACACCATCACCTGACTGAGAGAATATGCTTATGGGAAATTATGTCTGTTTATATTGCATTTGGATTGAATTCAATAAAATGGTCTGTCCCTGAAATAATTTTTTCTGTCATACGCTGGGGGTGGGGGTGACATAGAATATGAACAATGAAAGTGGCTATCTATAGGAAGATTTCCAGGCTAAGTTAACTCATTGCTATTATCCACCTCCTGGAATCATTTGCAGTCAGCTGCTGTCAAGGAGAGTTTTAAACTTAACAAAAGGAAACATGCTTCTGGACACCAGATTTCTTGCAGCATTCATAGATATCCTCATAATTCTTCAAAAAAGGTAAATCTAACTCCACTCTACAATTGGTTCTATTGTACATATGTTTATTTTAGATTTGTCAGGTTTTTCTCTGCCTCTAATTTTTGGTTTCAGGGATTTTCCTAATCCATTAATTTTAAGGGTCAGTGTAAAAAAGAAGTAGTAATGCATTTCCAATTTTATTATCTATTAATGACTATCTAAAGATATACTCCACTTACTAAAAGTCTTTTCCTGGATAATAATTTATTCCACTGATGAAATTAACTTTTAAAAATATTAACATTTTCTGAACTATTTTCAATGGAAAATACATTATAGTTGATCCTTGGTTTTTTCAGGAAATACATCTTAATCCAGATCTGAAGAATTAAAAAATACCCCATTCTGGCATATTGACAATTTTGAGTTAAAGCACTTGAGAAACAGCAGGTACAAGATCCCTCTGACCTTACTGCTGTTTCTTAAAAGCAGGAGATGAAACTCCCTATATGAAAGATGCCCTCCCTATATTAGGAGGAAAGCAACATTCTTAATATGAAGAAGTTGAGACCAAGAGAATTCTGTGTAGACCTTGTTGAAATAACTCATTATTTAAGCCTCATCATATAATTTAGTTTCTTTTTCACAACTCACTATTTGTTGTCCAATTCAGTGTATAAGTTTTCAGCTGTCTGCCTTTGAACTCTTCATTTCCTTATGAAGTTTCTTGTGCCAGGTAAAGCTTACATTAAATACATTTGTATATCTTTCTCTTGTTGATCTGTCTATGTCAATTTAATTATCAGGCCTAGCTGGGAAAAACTAAACTAAAGCATAAAGGTAAAATTCTGCCTCCCCTATGTATCTTAATATGAATGAATGTTAATAATCCTATTATTTGCTTTATCTGATAATGAATTATGACCTTCAATAGAATAAATTATTTATATAGCATAATGTCTATATGTAACTTAAGAAAAACATTCTAAGCTACAGATGCGGGCAGCAGTTGGACTCGCTTACAAATTCTGCCACTTCCCTTCACATATTTGCCTTAAAATATGGTTTTTGCGTCTCAGCCACATAGCTAGTAATTGCATGATATTGATCCTCAGGCTCACATTCAAAAATCAATGGTAGAAATTTAAAACTGTGAAAATTAGTTTGATTGTTCATAAGCACTTTTCTGTGACTCCTTATCTTCAGAGTCATGATCAGAGACAACCTTTAAATATGTGAACTGTTTCTATTTAAAAAATTATTTTCTAGAATTGTTAAATAAAATGTTTTTTATGTGTTTGTGTGTATATACAGAAGGGGACTCAAGAAGATACCTGTAATATATCACTCAGATGTTCGATAAGCTTGAAATAAAAATCAGTGCCAGTTGATGTGATATACTTATGTATTCTTGAAGTAGGTAATCTAAAAGCAGAGGTTTAAAATTTTCATAGGTCACATATTACTCGTAATAATCAACTAAAATTGAGATGTATTTATTAAGCAGAGTGATTAACAGCGGTATAGCATGGCAGTTAATATTGTGGGCTCTGCAAGCAACAAAATCGGGGTTCACGTTCTGGCAACAGTTCTTACTGGTTATGTTATGCCATTTAGAAGACATTACTTTATTTAAGTCTCCAGTTTTCTCATGAGAAACAGGAATTTGGTTGTCATTATATAATAGAGTAAAGAATAAATGTAACATATGTATATGTACACACACACAGGTAGAGATAGAGATGCTCTTCAACTTACAATGGGATTACATCCTGCTAAATCCACCAAAGGTAAAAAGTAAATCCAGATGCTCCTAGACTTATGATAGGGTTACATCTCGATAAACCCATCATAAAGCCAAAAAATTATAAGTCAAACTACTGTAAGTTGGGACTGTCTATGTATATATAACATATATATGTGTAAAATTCTTATAAACCTGTCAGGCACACTTTCAGCACCGCAGTTGTTGGTAACATACGTGTTCATACAGGTAATTTCAGTAAATAAAAAAGAGAAAACAAAATCTGGAACATCTTCTGACCTAAATGGGAATATATACATATACACACACACATTAGTTCATATATTTACATAGATTTATACATAAATCATATAGACCATTCCCATTCTGCTTCTCAAAATTCTTCTGTCCTCTGCCCATTGTCAATTCTGTAGCCAACTCCATATTTTTAGGTATTTGGTACAGCAGTATTTTATTCCAGCTAACAACTTCCTTATTATTGCTATAGAAAATTACCACACACTTAGTAGTTTAAAACAACACACATTTACTATCACTCAACTCTGTGGGTAAGAAGACTAAATAAAATGGGTTCCATTCCTTCTGGAGGCACTAGAGAAAAATTCATTTTCTTGTCTTTTCCAATTCTATAGGCTGCTCTCATTCCTTTGTTTATGGTCCTGCATCACTCCAACCTGTTTTATCTTCTCATTTCTTCCCTGGATGACTCTCTCATTTCTCTTTTTTTTTCCCTTACAAAAACATTGTGATTACATTGGGCACAACTTGATAATCCCCATTAATCTCCACAACTCAATATTCTGAACTTAATCATATTAGCAAAATCCCTTTACTCATGTAAAGTAAGAGATTCACAACTTCTGAGGATTAAGATTCAGGCATATTTGGTGGACCATTATCTTGCCTAACACAATACAGATGGATAATTGAAGTAAAAAATATTATAGTGCAAATTACATGGTAGGATTTATGAATTTAAGAGAATACAAAGTTTATTTGTGCTTCTCTGCAAAGGCTTTTCAAATATTGACTCACATGGAAAATAGACACTAAGAGAAGGCTCAAAAAATAATAAGGAACAGATGTAGATGTCATAGTTCCTCTAAACCTTTTCTGTCTTGTAGATAATGCTTTAATGCTATCTCCCAATTTCCTGTCATGCTACTGGTGTTGCATATCAAAGCTGCCATGGCAGGTGACTTCCAAACATTTTCCGATCTTTCTTATTCAACAGCAATTGTCTTACAGTATAGAATGACAAGAAAAGAAAAGTAAGCTGATGTTTTGAGTATCAACCTTTCATGTCTGCAGAAATGGCCAAAATTTTCCCTAACAACAAAAACCGGAAATGAAATCACTAGTTTATGGCCCTTCATATCAGAACAAACAGTCCTTTCTTCACTCTGCCTAGGTGCTACAAATCAGATCATTAGAAACGGCAGAACATTGGAAAGAAGAAAAATGTAAGATCTCGACAGCCTTTTATTTAATATATTTGGTCTATATGTTAATCTCATTGTAACAAGTTAAAAGTAATCAATCTTTAATTTGGATGTTAGGTTGTTGATGTCACAACTTGCTTTTAAGAAAGTCATATTATGGGAAAATTAAGCCACATACCAGTAGTGATAATGCAAAAAATTGAGACCTTTTTTGGGCATGATCAGAGAGAATCTAGTATTTATAATAAGTTTAAGAGAATAATAGGATTTAACTTAAAGCATTGATAAATATTATAATGTTATAAAAGAAGGAAGAAGGTAATAGAAGAAGAATAAGTGATGCTGATGATCATTCTGATGCTATTACATATTTACATGCATAGTATCAAAATTTTAATGTATTATTGCATCCTTTGACATATGATGAAAATGAGCCCCAGAGAGTCAGTTTCTTGTCCAATGTCATATTATTAGCCAGTGACATAACATGAAAATAAACTCATAATTTTTAATTTGAAATATCTGTTGTTCTTTTTCATTCCCTGAATTTTATCAAAAATAGACTTATTTGAATATTTTTATTATGTATATGATAGAAATAAAGATAGGCAAAATAAGACTATAGCTTTCCAGATTTCTGTACAAACTCAGGATTTAACCATTTTTATCAATGACCTTAGGCAAATTGGTCTCTGCAGCTCTAATCTTTCCTATCTTTCAGTGGGAACAATAATAACTACTGATTTGAACTAAAGATAAGCACTTATCACAATGTTCTCTACCTGAACTAAAGGCATTATCACAATGTCTCATATACATTGAACACTTATTTAAAAGTAGTTGCTGTTAACATTAATATAGTCATCTCTGTCATAATTATAAACTATGAATGAATAATGTCATCTTTATGCACCAAGCTCAGCTTCCACACACTCTTGTGGACCCTGGACCTTGGCTGAGATAGCTGTGACCAAATAATCTGATTGTAATATTCTCTTCATGTTTTACTTTGATTGGACCTATGGTAAATATCATAACTCTTTTAAAGTCTGTCTCAGAAAGGCCTAGATTTTGAAGTAAAGGAAGATGTTATTGAAAATTTTTCATGTTTCTGTTTCCTATGATGCTTGTCAAAGAGCATTGGTAATGTAGAGTTAGATCATTTCCTTCTTCCTAAATTAGTTACATCAGAGATTTGGGGATTAAATGACTCCCAACAGCTTTTCCACTCTTTGAGGGCCTAAGTGTCAGCTAGTGGTCACAAGAAACATTAGTTTATATTTAAGTATATTCATTTAAAAAATTAATCAAACTGACTGCCTAATGCTGCCATTAGCAGATCATTTGAGAGTTGGATGAATCCATTCCTTATACACCAAATTTATGTAAGTTCCAGAGTTAAGCAATAATTCATAATTATTACTAACAATAATTGTATTAAGAATAACCTGCTGCTTTAAAAATGAGATTTAAGGTCAATTTACCTTACTCTTGGTGCTTGTATTTAATAAGTGGTGACTACAATGAAGTCGGCCTCTACAAAATCGTTGGGATTTAACCAGTCCATCAGAATGGCTGACTTTTATGCCTAGCAAATTGTGTTATTTTAAAATAGTCTGATACAACATATTGATACAATTTTACTTTATGTACAAAGTTTTATATGATTTAAATTCTTCACTGACACCACATTCCTAAAATAATTATAATGCTCCCTATAATTTCAAAGAAGCCTGGCTGTGTAAATGGTAAACTATGTGTACACTGATGCCATGGTTAAAATCATTTTAACAAATGAAAAAAACTACCCTCTGTTTGTCAGAATTAGTCCTGAATTATTACAGTTTAAATAATGGTAATGATTCAGTGATGCATTTGCTACATCAACAGCGATCACCTGCAACTTTATGTGTATTTTGCTTCATTTATGTATATTCAAGAAAATAAGATACATAGCACATGGAGCATGGTTTCTTCCTTAACTCATCTTATTCTAGTTCTGTTGAACCCCTGAGTCAGGTGATCCACCCACCTTGCCCTCCCAAAGTGTGGGGATTACAGGCGTGAGCCACCGCGCCCGGCCAGCCACTGCTTCCAGCTGACAATATTTTTATACCCATCGTATAGATGCCAAAAGAAAATATAGACAGTAAGGAATTGGATAAGTCTTGGATAAGATAAAAGGTTGCAAGTAAAGACAAACAATTTTTTTCCAGGGAAAAAAATTCTGAGAGTGATCACGTTGGTTCTCTCAGCAGCAAAGGAGATAAGTGAATTCAATAGAGTACAAGAAAAAAAATGCACTTTCCCTCAAAACAAAAAAAAAAAAAAAACAAGTCAAGGAAATTGTTAGGAAAGTCATATTTTTTTGCTGTTAGAGGCCCAGTTAATGTTCTCAAAAAATTATTGAATATTCAGTTTTTCAAAAATATCATTGAAAAGGCACATCTAAGCAATTGTGTTTGCACCTCCTGTATTAAATTTCAGTGGAACCACTCAGGCAGGGGGAGGGGTATTGGAGTCAAAGGAAGTTCTGTTGTTACATTTTAATTCTACTCTACCACTCACTAACTCTAAGATCTTGGAAACGACACTTTTTTTTTCTTTTTTTGAGACAGGGTCTCACTCTATCCAGCCCAGGCTGGAGTGTGGTGTAAAGTGGCACAATCATGGCTCACTGCAGCTTTGAGATCCTGGTCTTAAGCAATCCTTCTGCTTCAGTCTCCTCAGTAGCTGGACTACAGTTACATTCCACTACACTTGGATAATTTTTTTACTTTTTGTAGAGACAGAGTCTCACTTTTTTGCCCGGGCTGGTCTCACACTCCTGGGCTCAAGTGATCATCCTGCCTCAGCCTCCCAAAGTGTTGGGATCACAGACATGAACCCCTGTGCCCAGCCTTGGAAAGACCACTTAATCCTGGTGGAATCTATTATCTTTGTATATGGAATGGATTTAATACTTTACAATGTTGGAGTTGTTAAATAATATGAAATGATACATGTTACTTAGTGTAGTTCTTGGCACGCAGAAGTAGATAAATAGCGATTTTCATGAATTAACTAATATTTATATATCATCCAATTGCAATGGCCAGTGTTGTGATTTTCAACAAAAATATTAAATGGCTGAATTTGCACAAGACTGTTAAGAAACCATTTATGTCAAATGGTGCTGGAGCAAATGGATATCCAAATGCAGAATAATGAGACTAGATGCCTCTCTCTCACCATATTAAAAAATCAAATCAAAATGGACTAAAGAGTTCAATCTAACACCTCAAAGTAGAAACTACTACAAGAAAACAGACTGTCCTGGGAAAACTCCAGGACTTTGGTCTGGGCAAGAATTTATTGAGCAACACCCCACAGCACAGGCAATCAAAACAAAAAATGTACAAATGGGATCACATCAGGTAAAAAGGCTTCTGCACAGCAAAGAATACAATCAACAAAGTAAAGAGACAACCCACAGAATGAGAGAAAATATTTGCAAACTACGCATCTGACAAAGGATTAATAACCAGAATATACAAGAAGCTCAAATAACTCTATAAGAAAAAAATAACAATTTGATAGAAAAAATCAGCAAAATATTTGAATAGATCCTTCTTAAAAAAAGACATGCAAATGGCCAATGGACATATGAAAAGGTGCTCGACATCATTGATCATCAAAGAAATGCAAATCAAAACTACAGTGAGATATCTCACCACAGTTAAAATGGCCTTTATTCAAAAGACAGGTAATAACAAATGCTGGTGAGGATGTGGAGAAATGGGAACCCTTGTACACTGTTGGTGGGAATGTAAATTAGTGTAATCACTATGGAGAACAGTTTGGAGGTTGCTCAAAAACCTAAAAAATTGAGCTATTATATGATGCAGCAATCCCACTGAGGAGTATATACCCAAAAGAAAGTAAATCAGTATATTGAAGAGATAGATGCACTCTTTTTTTTTATTCCTATACTTCAAGTTGTAGGGTACATGTGCACAACGTGCAGGTTACATATGTGTACATGTGCCATGTTGGTGTGCTGCACCCATTAACTCATCATTTACATTAGGTATATCTCCTAATGTTATCCCTCCCCCCTCCCCCCACCCCACAACAGGCCCTAGTGTGTGATGTTCCCCTTCCTGTGTCCATGTGTTCTCATTGTTCAATTCACACCTATGAGTGAGAACATGCGGTGATTGGTTTTCTGTCCTTGTGATAGTTTGCGCAGAATGATGGTTTCTAGCTTTATCCATGTCCCTACAAAGGACATGAACTCATCCTTTTTATGGCTGCATAGTATTCCATGGTGTATATGTGCCACATTTTGGTGATTCAGTCTATCATTGACGGACATTTGGGTTGGTTCCAAGGCTTTGCTATTGTGAATAGTGCCGCAATAAACATACGTGAGCTGCACTTTTATGTTTGTTGCAGCACTGATTACAATACCTAAGATTTGGAAGTAACCTAAGAGTTTATCAACAGATGAATGGATAAAGAAAATGTGGTACATTTATACAATGGAGTAGTATCCAGTTGTAAAAAGAATATGATACAGTTATTTGCAACAACATGGATGGAACTGGAGATCATTATGTTAAGTGAAATAAGCCAGGCACAGAAAGACAAACATCACATGTTCTCACTTATTTGTGGGATCTAAAAACCAAACCAATTGAACTTATGGAAAGAGAGTAAAAGGATGGTTACCAGAGGCTGGGAAGGGTAGTAGGGGATTGGGAGGGAGGTGGGGATGGTTAACGGGTATAAAAAATAGAAAGAATGAATAAGACCTACTATTTGATAGCAAAGGAGGGTGACAATAGTCAATAATAACTTAATTGTACATTTTAAAACAACTTAGAGTGTAACTGGATTCTTTGTAACTCAAAGGATAAATGCTTGAAGGAATGAATGCCCCATTCTTCATGATGTGCTTATTTCACATTGCATGTGTGTATCAAAACACCTTGTGTATCCTATAAATATAGACACCTACCATGCACCCACAAACGTTTAAAAATTAAAAATAAATTTAAAATAAATGTTTTATATAAAAATCATTTACGTCCAGTCTTTATAATTTTCAATTGTGGACTATAGTTTAATTCTGGTGTGTGGGATGAGAGGGTGACTTCAAACTGAAACAAGTGAAGAAGATGATAAGATTAAAAAAAAATAAATAGAAGTAATCCAAACATTACTTAGTCCTTATTCTTTCCCCATGATTTAGATAACACAGAGAGACCCAGGTCTTCTATCACACAACACCTTCTAGTTACAAATGTCTGTTATTTATCTGATGTGTGGGAATAACTTTGTCAAAATTACTTTGTCTCAGAACTAGAGGTACCAGATATAAAATGCATACATCCCATTAAATTTAAATTTGAGATAAACAACAATTATTTTATGATACCAGGCTTGTGGTCCTCACTTATATTATTTGCCTTTTGCTCCATAACAAGCTATTCAAAAAGCTATCCCAAAATTTAGTGACTTGAAACAACGCCCATTTATTATTGCTCTGTAGTCAACAGGATGCTTCTGCTGATCTTGTCAGGCCTCTGAGCCCAAGCCAAGCCATCTCATCCCCTGTGACTTGCATGTATACACCCAGCCCAGATGGCCTGAAGTAACTGAAGAATCACAAAAGAAGTGAATATGCCCTGCCCCACTTTAACTGATGACATTCTACCACAAAAGAAGTGTAAATGGCCAGTCCTTGCCTTAAGTGATGACATTACCTTGTGAAAGTCTTTTTCCTCGCTCATCCTGGCTCAAAAAGCACCCCCACTGAGCACCTTGCGACCCCCACTCCTGCCCGCCAGAGAACAAACCCCCTTTGACTGTAATTTTCCTTTACCTACCCAAATCCTATAAAATGGCCCCACCCTTATCTCCCTTCACTGACTCTCTTTTCGGACTCAGCCCACCTGCACCCAGGTGATTAAAAGCTTTATTGCTCACTCAAAGCCTGTTTGGTGGTCTCTTCACAGGGACACGCATGAAAGATCTGGATTAAGTTTGGTTGATATCAGACTTACTTATGCCTCTGGGGTAAGATGAGAGGCTAGCTGATAAGGATTGGTCTTAGGTAGCCTCACTCACATTCCTGGCCAAATGGCAAATAACAAGCTGCGGCAGTGTTAGCACAATGTTTCTTCTGCCATGTACTACTGGCTAGAAAAAGTCATCAAGTGAATATTCAATGGCACAAAGCGATAAGCTGAAATTGAATATACACTTCAATTATGAGTGTTTCTTTCATGCTCACTATGTCTTGGCCAGTACTTTAAGCCAAGAACTCACAGAATGATATACCAACATGGGATTCCTCATTCAAATGCTTAGACCAAGCACAATTTACAATCAGGAAGGCAAAGTGCTGAGCACTTCTCCGTAAGATTTACTGGTCCTATCAAATACTGCAACCCTCAGAAGCTAATGGCCTAACTGGAATGGTACTTTTAAGGTACAATTTAAGTACCAGTTAGGGGAAGACCCGTGAGCAAATCTGGGATGATGCCTTCAAGTTGTGGAACATACTTTGAACCAATGGCCATTATATAGTTAATTGTCCCAGATAGCTACAAACAAAATGGGTCTGGAAATAAAGGAGGAGAATCTAAGAGGCACCACTCCCTAGCATTGTCAGTGATTTATTTGGAAAAGTTTTATTTTATTTTTTTCTGTTCTAACAACTTTAGCCTCTGCAGACTGAGAAGTTTTAGTCCCCACAGGGAGATAAGTTGGGGGTGGGGATGCTTCTATGAGGGAACATAGTAAAGGTTTTATTAAACCTAAGAATATGCTGCCACTTTATTTTGGCAGATTCCTCAGGCTGGCAGACTGGTAAGAAAACAAGGATGACTCTAATTATCTTAATTAGAGTACTCCTAAAAAAGGAGACTATGGCAGAGTGTGTCTGGTATGCAAAGAATTTGCTATGGTGATTCTAGTTACTTTCATACACATCAATAACCATAGATGAGCAATTCCAGAAATGATGGCCTGAAGGCTTTCTCAGTTTTGAGGTGCATACAGCACTTGCACAAACCAGAATGCCTATTTGGGAGGGCAGGGTTTGGTGCCATCAGAAGCACTCCTCAATCACTGACAAACATTAATTGTTGTAATTCTAAGACCTATTCTATGCTATTTCCCAAAGTTTCAACAGCAAGGCTCAGCCCTGGCTGCCTATTGTAGTAATGTGCTTATCAGTTCATTCTTCACAGGCTCTTCTGAAATTGTTCACTCCTCCAATGGTGCTTCCTGGAATCACCTCTCAAATCAATTACTTCGGATAAAATCTTGGTCTCAGTAGATCTAAAATCTGTGGAATGGCATTTTCTCATTCTCAATATTCTCGGGGGAAAAAAAGTTATTAAAATAAGACAAATGTTTTATTTTTTTCCATTTTAAATTAATGCATTTCAAAGAAATCTTGGTTACCTTGTTCTGAAAAAGCCATTCATCTCCTTCCAAAACCAATGATGGTTTATTCTTTTTCCCAAATACTTATGTGCAGCTTTGGGAATCATTTTCTTCCATATTAAGCTTCCCAGTATTTCTGAAATTATGGCAGATTCTGATTCTTGGAAGCAACCAGAACCCTCTGAGCTGCACCTCTATTGAATCATCTCTGTTTACAATGACTCTCACTCAAGTTATTAAGGATGTGATCTCTGCTATTTTTTTCATTAGAAAACCCACACATTACATAATAATTGTTAGGGTTTTTGTTAGTCTGTCTTAAAAAAATACATTTAAAAAATGTACCCAGTGTTGTCAGAGAATATCTTCATTTCAATATCACTTTAATATAGCCCCAGGAAAGTGAACTTTTCAAAAAAGGGAGATAGTTGCATCCAGATTCAATAATACCATATTTCTTCTATACTAAAACCACTAAACACACACACACACACACACACACACACACACACAAATTAGGTGTGATGGTTTATTTTATGTGTCATCTTGGCTGGGCTGCATTAGCCAGTCCTTGGCCATACGCCAGTGTAGACGTTGCTGTGAAGATATAGTTTTTAGATGTGACTAACATTTAAATCAATAGACTTTCAGTAAAGCTAATTACCCTCCATAATATGGGTGGACTTTACCCAATCGGTTGAAGTATTTAAGAGAAAAAGACTGAAGTACCCTGAGGAAGAAACAGTAATTTCTTAAAATAAATTTATTGCTCTTATGTGCATACACATACAGCCATGCATATATGTACACACACACACAAATACACACATGGTTTCTCTGAAGAACCTTGATGAATAATATAAGATTTAATGCTTCCTCACTGCACTAAGATTTATCCAAATTTTAGAATCAATGGTAGAAATACGGTAGAAATGATAATAAGTTATATTCACTGAGTACTTTCATCTAAGTGCTTTTTGTGCATTATTTTATTCTCACAAACACCTTATGCATTTTTTTATTTGTACAAATTTATAGGGCACATGTGCAATTTTGTTACATGCATTGGTTGTATAGTAGCCTAGTCAAGGATTTCAGGGTATTCATTGAACCCATAACGTATTCATTGTACCCATAAACTAATTTAACATTATCTACCTCCCTTGCAATCCTCATCCTTCCAAGTCTCCCCTATCATTCTGCTCTCTAGATCCATATGCGCACATTTTTCTTTAGCACTTACTTTGAGTGAAAACACGTGATACTTGACTTTTTGTGCCTGACTTGTTTCACTTAAGATAATGGCCTTCTGTTCCATCCATGTTGCTGAAAAAGACATGATTTCATTCTTTGTTTTTGTTTTTTTTTTTTTTTTTTGAGACAGAGTCTCTCTCTGTCGCCCAGGCTGGAGTGCAGTGGCGCAAACTCGGCTCACTGCAAGCTCCGCCTCCCGGGTTCATGCCATTCTCCTGCCTCAGCCTCCCAAGTAGCTGGGACTATAGGCGCCCGCCATCATGCCCGGCTAATTGTTGTATTTTTAGTAGAAACGGGGTTTCACCGTGTTAACCAGGCTGGTCTTGATCTCCTGACCTCGTGATCCACCAGCCTCGGCCTCCCAAAGTGCTGGGATTACAGGCGTTGAGCCACCGCGCCTGGCCAATTTCATTCTTTTTTTATGGCTGAATAGTATCCATTGTGTAAATATACCATATTTTCTTTATCCATTCATCTGGTGACAAACAGTTTGATTTTGTATCTTTGGTATTGTGAATAATGCTGTGAAAAACGTATGAGTGAAGGTATCCTTTTGATATAATATCTTTCCCTTTGGGTAGATACCTCATAGGAGAATTGCTGGATTGAATGGTAGTTCTAAGATCTTTAAGAAATCTTCATACCATTTTCCATAGAGGTTTTACTAATTTACATTCCCACCAACGGTGTGTAAGAGTTCCCCTTTCTCCCCATTCCTGTAAACATCTGCTATTTTTTGTCCTTTTAATAATAGCTGTTCTGACTGGAGTGAGATGATACCTCATTGTAGTTTTAATTTGCATTTCTCTGATGATTAGTGATGCTGAAAAATTTTTTCATGTATCTGTTGGCCATTTGTATTTCTTCTTTTGAAAAGTGTCTATTCATGTCCTTTGCTCACTTTTTAATGCAACTATCTGTTTTGGTGTTGCTGTTGAGTTGTTTGAGTTCCTTGTATATTCTGTAGGATGAATAATTTGCAAATATTCTCTCTCATTTTACAGGTTGTCTATTCGCTCTGTTGCTTATTTCTCTTGCTGTGCAGAAGCTTTTATTTTAAGTCCCATTTGCTTATTTTTGTTTTTGTTGCCTGTGCTTTTGAGGTTTTAGTCATAAATTATTTACATAGATCAGTGTCCAGAAAAGTTTTTCCTAGGTTTTCTTTCAGCATTTTTTTATTATTATTATTTTAGTCAGAGTCTTGTTCTGTTGCCCAGGCTGGAGTGCAGTGGCGCGATCTCAGCTCACTGCAAACTCTGCCTCCTGGGTTCAAGCGATTCTCCTGCCTCAGCCTCCCTAGTAGCTGGGCCAACAGGTGCACACCAACACTCCTGGATAATTTTTCTGTTTTTGGTAGAAACAGGGTTTCACTATGTTGGCCAGGCTGGTCTCAAACTCCTGACCTCAGGTGATCTGCCCGCCTCAGCCTCCCAAAGTGCTGGGATTACAGGTATGAGCCACTGTGCCCAGTCTCTTTCAGTATTTTTATAGTTTTTCAAATGTTTAATTCTTTTAACCATCTTGAGTTGATTTTTGTATATCATTAAAGATAGAGGTTCGGTTTCATTTTTATATATATGGCAATCTAAATTTTCCAGTGCCATTTAGTGAAAAGAGTGTTTTTCTCCAATGTATGTTCTTTCAGCTTTGTCAAAGATCAGTTGGCTGCAAATAAGTAGCTTTATTTCTGGGTTCTATTCAGTTCCATTGATCTATGTGTCTATTTTTATAAGAGTACCATGCTGTATTGGTTACTATAGCCTTGTAATATAATTTGAAGTCAGGTAATGATGTGATGTTCCCAGATTTTTATAAAGGATATGTATGTGTGTGTGTGTATGTCATTATGTATGAAATATCTATCAGATCTGAGTTCCTAACTAGAAAATGTTACCCAATTGAAGGTAAAGGGGTCAGGCTAAGCTAATTAGTCTAGTTATAGAGCTTTTTGGTGATTTAATTGTTTTGATTTTAAAAAGCCAATTGAGAATATATGGAGGAATGAATAAACAACACATTTTCTAGTTTTTTTCCATATAGTTTAGTTTGTCTTTTTTTTTTTTTTTTTTTTTTTGGAGGCTTGTCTTTTTATTTCCCCCTAGCCTGGATATCAGGCATAGACACATTGAATTCTGGTTAAGACCCACTTCTTGGATATGCTCTGATGTGTATGAAGAATAATTTACATATTTTAATTCTGGATATAAGAATGTAAAGGTAGGCATAGGTTATGAAATCTGAGAAAATAGGAAAATAAGCTTAGATGTCTGAGAGAGCAGAGTTAGTTCATTTTTTTATAGATGTGTATTATAAATACAAATACCATTTTAACTCAAATATTCACTTAAACATTTTCTTTTTCTTTTTGAGACAGTGTTTTGCTCTTGTTGCCCAGGCTGGAGTCCAATAGTGCGATCTCGGCTCACTGCAACCTCCACCTCCTGGGTTCAAGCGATTCTCCTGCCTCAGCCTCCCAAGAAGCTGGGATTACAGGCATGCACCACCACACCCAGCTAATTTTTTGTATTTAGTAGAGATGGGGTTTTAACATGTTAGTCAGGCTGTTCTCAAACTCCTGATCTCAGGTGATCCACCTGCCTCAGCCTCCCAAAGTGCTGGGACTACAGGTGTGTGCCAACGTGCCTGGCCCTTCACTTAAACTTTTAAGCAAATATATTTTCAGGAAACACTGCCCAAGAGGAAAAAACAAAACTTTCATTCCTATATTACTCTTATAAATGCAACACAAAACTTTCTTGGGTAAATGATTTATGTAAAGGAGAAAAACAAACAATTTCAGTTTTATGAGGTATCAATCTATTATTCATTCTTCACATGATTTCCATTACATAATATCTCATTTGACGTTAGTTGTAGCGTATTTTTTTTAATTTATAAAGGAAAGAGCCTTTTTTTCTTTTAATTTCTAGTTCTGGGGTACGTGTGAAGGATGAGTAAGTTTGTTACATAGGTCAACGTGTGCCATGGTGGTTTGCTGCACCTATCAACCCATCACCTAGGTATTAAGCCCCACACGCATTAGCTAGTTTTCCTAATGCTCTACCTACCCCAACCTCACCCCTCGACAGGCCCCAGTGTGTGTTGGTCCCCTCCCTGTGTCTATGTGTTCTCATTGTTCAGCTCCCACTTATAAATGGGACATGAATATTTTATATATATTTATCTATTTTTCCTTTTTATAATCACTTATGACCAGTGTTTGTTTATAGAACATTTATTTTCCATTCTCTGAACAATTTATTTTCTATAAAATATATGATTCTATTTCTTTTATACAAATTGGAAAAGGTTTTCTTAATTTAATCTTTTTAAAGACTCAGACTATAAATAAATAAAAAGGAAGTGACAATTCTCCAAATATTAACGTCTAGGTAGAAGTTGAGGTGTTTAATATTTTGAAGTGTTTCCAGATGGACAGAAAGAAAACTATGTAGGTAGACAGGTGGATTTATAGGTAACCAGAAAGAACGTCATATTTATGGTAGGCTCATGCTACATATAACATTTGATTGCACATTTTTAAATTTAATGTTGTTGGTATGTTTGCCTTGTATTCTGTTAAGGCAGTATGAGTAGTAATTAAGCTTTGAGTCCAGCCTTTGGCTATTATAGCTTCGGGCAAATTGTTCATTGTCTGTAACCATTGACTCCTCCTTCGTAAAATACACATGATAACATTTACCTCATATAATTAGTATGAGAAAAAAATAAAGCATACGCTCAACAAGTATTAGCCATTATCTTATCATAATTTTACTGATACTCTATAATACCTCAGAATTTAAAAAATACTGACATAACATTTTTATCTAGGCCTTTTCAAACTCTTCTGTTTTTCTACACTATCTTTTTGAAATTGAATTTTATTTCCCAAAGCTTATACGTTTATTTATTTGATTATTTATTTACTCATTTTTGGAGACAGAGTCTCTCCTCTGTCCCTCAGGCTGGTGTGCAGTAGTGCGATCTCAGCTCACTGCAAACTCCACCTCCCGGGTTCAAGCAATTCTCCTGCCTCAGCCTCCTGAGTAGCTGGGATTACAGGCACTGCCACCATGCCCGGCTAATTTTTGTATTTTTAGTAGAGACGGGGTTTTGCCATGTTGGCCAGGCTGGTCTCAAATTCCCAACCTCAAGTGATCAGCCCGTGTTGGCTTTCCCAAAGTGCTAGGATTACAGGCATGAGCCACTGCACCCAGCCCTCCTAAAACATGTACATTTAAAGATTGATATACGGTCGGGCGCGGTGGCTCACGCCTGTAATCCCAGTACTTTGGGAGGCCGAGGCGGGCGGATCACGAGGTCAGGAGATGGAGACCATGCTGGCTAACACGGTGAAACCCCGTCTGTACTAAAAATACAAAAAATTAGCCGGGCGCCGTGGTGGGCGCCTGTAGTCCCAGCTATATTGATATACACTGCCACATTTTCCTTTGGAAGAGTGTCCTTTTTCCAGTGATATGAGAGACTCGCATTCCACATACACTTACAAAACCATTACTTAAATTGTTTACCAAAACTTGAAGAAAAATGCATCTAATTTTTCTTTTTAACTTGTTTTACTTTGTGACTATTAGTGAAGACAAATCATACTTTTACTTTAGAGAAAATTTATATTGCATTGGTAGATGGCCTGGTTATCTTTCACTTGTTTCCTTTGAGTATGGTATGATTTTTTCCAATTTTTTTTCCAAATCTCTTTGATATATTGAGATTTTTAAACATTTCCCTTAGAGTTTACAAACATACAGTATTTCCAAGATTTTAGTTTTTAATTGAAGGTAACGTAAGATACATTGCTAATTTCTCAGTATTAAACCAAATCATTTTACTCTGAGGTTAAAATGCAGTATCAGAACAAGAAAATTATGAAATTATACATTTTTATCTCTGACAGTGTTAATCATGTTCAGGCAATTTGGAATCCCAACTTTATAGTAGTAGGAGAACAGGATTGTGATTAGAAATCTATTTTTGTCATCTCACTTCTATCCATGTATCTGTGACTTTGAAAACCTTGTTTCATCTTCAGTTATAAAATTTAACAGTATTATGATTTATTTCTTCTGCTACACTTCATTTGGTAAGGGTTGAATTAGCACATATAAATATTCCTTAAAATTTCCCAAGCTATAAGGACCTTAAGTAAATGCATCCTCCGTATCATATTTTTTCTGATTTTTTTTCGTTATGAACAATGGCCTGCATAATTTTAATATTAATGTAACATTAATATTTTCTTGTTAATGCAACTCAAACATTATATTCATTAGGAGATTTGGGAAATGGTGAATTTTAGCAGAAAGCATTGGATATACACAGGCCACATCTTTGGTTATTTTAATGGAGAAAACCATCTACAGAAAGTTGTTTCCCCTAGAGTAAACCTTGTCCTTGCAGGAGGAGGCTGTTCTTATCTCTGTCTGCCTATAAAAGAATGGTTTAGTTATACGGCTGGGCACATTGGCTCATGCCTTCAATCCCAGCACTTTGGGAGGCTGAGGCAGGTGAATCACGAGGTCAGGAGTTTAAGACCAGCCTGACCAACATGGTGAAACCCCTCCTCTACTAAAAATACAAAAATTAGCTGGGCATGGTGGCCGTGCCTATAATCCCAGCTACTCCGGAGGCTGAGGCAGGAGAATCACTTGAACCTGAGAGGCGGAGGTTGCAGTGAGCCAGCACTGCGCCACTGCATTCCAGCCTGGGCGACAGAGCGAGACTCCGTCTCAAAAATTAAAAAAATAAATAAATAAATAAAAATAAATAAATAAATAAAAATAATAATAAAAAAAGAATGGGTTAGTTATATAACTTGGTCAAGAAAGAAGGTTCTAACGTAATAAAGTAAAAAGCATTTATGTTTCATTCAAAAGTTGTTGAATATGCTTTCCAGTTGTTTAATGCACATCTAAATTAGTGCTGGATTCATGTTGGGGAACACGAATGTACAGAATGAGTAAGTAGAATACCATTTTATGGCAGAAATGTCGTTTCCACATGGACCTTAATTTACTACTGAAAAATAAAAATTTTCAGAGTGTTGGAATCCTGTTGAAAGCTAGTTATTCATGTTATGCTGAAAAGAGGTTTGATTTTTAATAAATTTGAGAAATGATGCATAAATACTACATCTGCCTGTGCTGAACATATTCTTTAAAGTTTAATTCATCTTTTTATTTTAGATACTTACAGATTCACAGGTAATTGTAAAAAAAAATTCAGAGGGATTCCATGTACGTTCACCCAGTTTTCCGCCAGGGTAATGTCTTTTAAAACAATAGGATAATATCACAATCAAGATGTGATATGCAGTGAAGATACAGCACATTCCCATCACCACAGGATCCCTCATGTTTGCCGTTTTGGCCACACCCACTTCCCTCCCAGCTGTACTAATTCTTAACTCTTGACGACCACTAATATAGTCTCAATTTTTACAATTTTGTCTGATAATTTTATATAATTAGAATCATACACTATATGCCTTTTGAAATTGACCTTTTTCTACTCAGAATAATTCTCTGCATATTCCCTCGAGTTGTGGTGTGTATCAATAACCTATTTCCCTTCATTGCTGAGCAGTAGTTTTTGGTATAGATATATTACAGTTTGTTTAATCATTCTCCACTGAAGGACATCTGGATTGACTCTAACTTTTGCTGTTAAAAAAGTTGCTATAAATATCTGCGTTAAAATGTTTGTATGAACATGTTTTAATTTATCTTTAAAAAATACTTGAAAGTGCATATGCTGGATCATATGGTAGTTGTGTGCTTAATTTTGTAGGAAACTTGAACTTTTCAGGAGTGGCTGTATTATTCTGCATTCCCACCAGCATGTATGAATGATTTGTTTCTCTACCTCCTTGTGAGCATTTGGTGTTGTCACCATATACTGTTTTAGACATTCTGATAAGTATATAGAGATATTTCATTGTGGTTTAAGTTTGTAAGTCTCTAATGGCTGATAATGTTGATAATCTTTACATGTGTTTATTTGCCATTTGTATAATGTTGACAATCTTTTCATGTGTTTATTTGCCATTTGTATATCCTCTCTGGTGAAATGTCTCTTCAAATCTTTTTCCTGTTTTTCCAATTGTTTTGTTATTGAGTTTTAAAAAACACTTTATATATTTTATGGGCTATAAGTTTTGCAAATATTGTCTCTCTGTAGCCTGTTTTTTAATGATGTTAATGGTGTCTTATGAAGAGCAAAACATTTTAATTTTGATGAAGTCCAGTATACAACTATTTCTTCTATGAATTATGCTTTGAGCTTCAAGTCTAAGACCTATATACTAAACCATAGATCTCAAAGATTTTCTCTATTTTTTTGTTTTATAGTTTTAAATTTAACTTCATCAACTATTTTGTGTTAGCTTTGGTATAATGTGAGACTGAGGTTGAGATTCATTTTATTGTGCAACTTAAAAGGTACAGTAGTCAATACTGTGCACTATTAGCAGAGGAATAGATATGTAGATCAATGGAACAAAAGAGGCAACCCCAAAACAGACTCACCCAAATATACCTAACTTATTTTTGACAATGGAAAAAACATAATTAAATGGAAAAAGAAGAATATTTTTTTCAGCAAATGGTGTTGCACCAATTAGACATCATGATGGGATTGCGATAAAGATTAAACCTGTGTATCAATTTGGGAAGAATTGTCATCCATGAATACAGTCCATGAATAGGGTATGTCTCTTCATTTACTTAAGTCATCTTTGATTATGTTCATTAGTAATGTACAGGTTTTAGCATACAAATCTTGCACATTTTGTTAGACTTACACCTCAGTATTTCCTTATTTTCCACTGTGATATATATTCTTCCTGTCCCAAATCCTCGTCTGTCTTTAACATAAGACTTTAACTAGACCTCTAGTTTTTGAGAATTTCTTATACCTGGAAGCTTTCCTTGATGTGCCTCTTTTATCATAAGCTCTGTTTCTAACTCCGGGACTATACAGGTCAATGATGGTGCTAGAAGGGTAACCTCATTTATTATCAATAACGACTCTCATCATGCTACCCATTTCAGCTCTCCTTAAATGTTTAACATGTAGTTTCTTTCAAGTATTTCCAGCAACAGATACACAGAATGGTTAAAAATCAGAAATCTTGTAGCTTGGTATTTCTAAAATAACATTTCAATTTTTAATAAAATACTACTTGAAAATAAGACCAATTCTTTTGTTAAATAAAGTGCAAAGCCCTACCTACAACATATTCCTCTGAGACACCCACCAAACTCTGAGCACACTGAAAACATGGGGAATTTTTGCAGCACTTAATTTTGTTTAATCCAGAGTATTCCAAACTAGTGTTTTAAACACTAACCATTTTTCACTGCAGCCTATCTGTTAACAGTTCATGGAATTCTGACTTTGGGTAGGACTGAGTTTGACAAAAGTGAGAATTTTCAAGTAACAAAAATAGTTAATTAAAAATGGAGGAGCTTGATTAATTCTTGATAAATAATAAATATAGGATTTGTCTCAGACTACAGGTTGCTTGTATTTGCCCATTTGTTCTTTGCTCTTTTGTTCACATAGGGAACTTATGATTTTATTTGATTAAATATGTGTGTACCTATTTTTAAATACTTGTCTCATACTTTGCATTACTATTTAGATGTTACATTACTCTTCAGCTTTTCTAAGTTGTGAATTTATTGACATTCAAAAGCAGAAACAGTGATAAAAGCATTGTATTTACTAAAGTACGAAATGAAGACTTATTTGAAAGTAACAGTATCACATATTTAAATGGCATGTGGAAGTATCACATGAAGAGGAATGTAAAGTTGATATGTTAAACATGTAACGATTTTCAAGTGTAAATCGTGAACAGAAAATTATATTAGAAAAGGAACTGTTTGGGGCTTTTATTTAAGAATGTAATTCTTGGCCGGGTGCTGTGGCTAACATCTGTAATCCCAGCACTTCAGGAGGCTGAGGTGGGCGGATCACGAGGTCAGGAGTTCAAGACCAGCCTGGCCAACATGGTGAAACCCGGTCTCTACTAAAAATACAAAAATTAGCTGGGTGTGGTGGTGGGCACCTGTAATCCTAGCTACTCAGGAAGCTGAGGGAGGAGAATTGCTTGAACCCAGGAGGTGGAGGTTGCAGTGAGCTGAGATCATGCCACTGCACTCCAGCCCGCGTGACAGAGCGAGACTGCTTCTCAGAAAACAAACAAATAAATAAATAAATAAATAAAAGAAAAGAATGTAATTCTTTTAGCATATAAACAGGATATTGATCAATTTTTGCTTGTTTTAGAGGGCACTTCAGATGTATTTTTGTTTTCTGTGTCTTTGTTGATAATATAATTCTTTTATGTGCATAAAAATTATCTTGATTATTAAAAGAAGTCCTCGACTTCTAACATTGCTGAGCTCATTTTTTAGTAATGTGCACTGTTAATGAAGTGTTCTTTCCAGTAATTTTTACAGTGGTAAAGTGTTTACAATTCAGTAAACACTGAATTGTATGTGCATAAAAATTATCTTGATTATTAAAAGAAGTCCTCGTCTTCTAACATTGCTGAGCTCATTTTTTAGTAATGTGCACCGTTAATGAAGTGTTCTTTCCAGTAATTTTTACAGTGGTAAAGTGTTTACAATTCAGTATGCGATAATATTCATGACAAACTTCACAGCCTGGCTGGTGTGAGCAACCTGTAATTGTTGAAATAGTAGACCTGTGGCAAAATAATTCTTAGCTCTGAGACCCCCACTCTGCTCAGTAATTAGAATTTGAAGAACTATGAAATTATAATCATTTTAAAGTAGTGTTTGATTTTAAACCTTTACTTGACTGCCTTTAATATTTTTCTGTTTTAGTCATTTTCCCACTTCCTATCATCTGCTGACCTTATTCCCTTATTCTGCAGCTACTGCCACTTCTGAGCTCCCTCAAAATCTCGCAGTCCTTTAGTTTTCCTCTGTGTTTTTACCTTACCATTCCTCCTACAAAGGCCCAGCTCCATTCAGTTAAATGCAACACATTTCACTTGAGTCAGTAAATAGTTTGGGTAGTGCCTTGCTGTGCTAGACACTGTATTAAGCTTTATAGATATAAAATATTTATTGTGATTCTATGATACTGCTGAATCCAAGACCTATCATTGTTTTTCAACTGTTCCATAAATTCAACATTAGCTTTGAGGGAAAATCACAGACACACACATTATGTTAAATGTGTATGTTGATATGATACTTTCTGAAAACATTAAATATAAAAACATATTCAGAATATATAAAACATTGTCTTGTTTTCTGAAGAAGCTTGAAGTTCAGTGTAAAGACAGACCTATACAAATTTGGGTGTGATCTTATGAACATTTGGTTGGTTTTGTCCATGTCAGAGCAAAAATCTAGAGACTAATCTCTAAATTAAACATTTAATTTGGAATCACAGAATTGGAGTTCAGGGCATACACACAGACCTGATGTCTTGAATATGTTTCAAGAATAAAGAGAAAGTTGGGAGCTTTATCATAAAGAGAGATGTTATAAATTTTTTTGAAAGAAAGCTTATTGACTCTGTAGATAGGCTTTTGGGAGCTGGCAGGCCCTAGACTTAGAGCCACTGCTATTTCAGCTTGCTTCAACAGTTACTAGCAGGCTGTTATAGCAGTTGGGCTTGCAGAAATTTCAATTATTGAAGCTGGTGCTATGTGATTTTCCCCCCAGCGTCTCGACTATGATTTAATTAGGTATAACAAGAATGACCCAATTCATATAATCAGCTTTCACAGTTTTAAGGAAAAGAAAAATGATTAAATTTACAGCCGGGCATAGTGGCTCACGCCTGTAATCCCAGCACTTTGGGAGGCTAAGGTGGGCGGATCACGAGGTCAGGAGATAGAGACCACGGTGAAACCTCGTCTCTACTACATATATGTGTGTGTGTGTGTGTGTGTATATATATATATATATATATATATACATACGTGTGTGTGTGTGTGTGTGTGTGTGTGTGTGTGTGTGTATATATATATATATATATATATATATATATATATATATATATATATATAAAAAATTAGCCAGGCGCGGTGGCGGGCTCCTGTAGTACCAGCCACTCGGGAGGCTGAGGCAGGAGAATGGCGTGAGCCCAGGAGGCGGAGCTTGCAGTGAGCCGAGATTGCGCCACTGCACTCCAGCCTGGACGACAGAGTGAGACTCTGTCTCAAAAAAAAAAAAAAAAAAAAAAAAAAAAAAAAAAAATTTACATTGGTAAACTTACTATGCAATTTACATTGGTAAACTTATGATGCTAGTGGCAGTACGGATGATGGATGGAGAAAATTGAGACCGACATAAAGAAGAACAGCACCAAGACTCTAAGACTTCTCTCCATGCCTGCTCCCAGCAAAAAGCAGCCATTACTTATAAATTACTTGACACTTACAAGCCTGGTTATGGGAGGTCTAGGCGTTTTCTGTTGTTGGGATTTTGTCTTAAGTAAACACGGTATATTTACTTGAGTCTTAGGAATGGACTCTTCTTAGTGAACCTGTCTGGCCTTAGCTATCAGTGTGGGTCCAGCACGTATTTTTGACCCTTGTTAAGTTGCAGAATATTTTGTTTCAATGTGCTATTATTCCAGCTGCAGTGAGTTTCCCCAGTGACCTATTAAAAGAAAAAAAACAAAACAATAAACAGCAACAAAAATGTTTGTTGTGCTTCTCCCAGCAGTTTGAGGCTTTCATCATAGGATAGGAAGGAAAAATTGATCCAGGTGGACCACAAACTTTTCCTGCAAAGCCTGCTACTTCCCTCTTCATGCCTAAACCTTGAAAGACCCTCTTCTTACAGCTGTCAGCTGCTTTCAATCTTTCTTGAGCATAGTTATATCTGTAGAGAAGAGCCTATGAATCCGTAAGAAATCTTTTGACGACCACCTGCAGGGGTTCTTTATCCTTATGCTAATCCAAACTCAGCCTTCAGCACTCAAAATTTTAGCTAATTGTTTTTCTTACTAATATTTGACAGTGCCTGCTCCAGATAAGCCACTGTCCATATCCCATCTATCTTTGGAAGCAGCCATCCTTCCCTAGATTTCAGGTTAATTGCTCGTCTAGGACATCAGCTCTCTTACAAGGTCAAGAACATTTATAAATTTGAAATTGTTGTTTGGATTTTTAAGTGCAGTAGCTATGCTTTTTTAGCTACCAACATTGTAAGTAGAAGCCAGAAATCCCTGGTTCATCATTTTTAACAAGTACCAGAAAGTGTTTCTTATACCAAAGTTAGATAATCAAGAACATACAGCCATTGCCTTCCCAGATAGTATATTTGCCTCAAATACAAAAGAAAAGGTCAATCAAAATGTCACAGTGAAAATATCTTGCACATACACTACTAGATTTTAAACAGCAAAACAGAAAAGTTATTCCTGCCCATATGAGACAGGTACTACATGTTTTTTTTTTCTTGTAATTTTACAATATAGTGTAGGCACAGAGAGGTGGAATAACTTTTCTGATACAATATAGTTTGTACATGATTAAAAATCACTGGTGAATATAATTAAAAATCTTTTAATGGTAACAAACACGAAATCTCGTGTTTTTTGGCATTATTCTTAATGTAATTAAACAAACAGTTGTGAGTCCTCTTTTCAGGGCCTCACAAGCCAGAAGGCAAGCCATCAGCTGTGCTGCATTCTCATTTGGAGACTCAATTAGGAAATGATGCCTTTCTAAACTCCCCAGGATGATTGGCAGAATTCATTTCTTTGCAGCCATATAATTCTTTACAGCTTGCTTCTTCAAAGCCAGCATTGTAGAGAGAGGATCTCTGCTGCTTTGAATGTTACCTCTTAGAATGTACGGACTCTCTTATTTAAAACTCCCACTGATTAGGCCAAGCCCACCCAAGATGATTTTCTGATTAACTTAGAGTCAAATGACTGGGGATCTTAATTACATCCTTGTTATATTATTTCCTTCAGAAAAAGTGGGAGGTTCTACTCATATTCCAAGCAGGGGAATTATATCCCAGGGGGCAGTGAGCATGGGCGCATCTTAGAATTCTACCTGCCTCACAGTCAAATGTTTGAAGTTGTGCTGCTATAAGGAAAGCACACGCAATTTTTCTCATATTGTGTTGGAACATTAGTCACTTCTTTAAGGATGATTTTGTATTACTAGCACATATATTGGGTAACACATATATTGGGTTGTTGGGAACAAGCCGCCCAAAATCTGGCCATAATCTGGCCCCAAAACTGGCCATAAACAAAATCTCTGCAGCACTGTGGCATGATCATGATGGCCATAATACCCATGCTGGAAGGTGGTGGGCTTACCGGAATGAGGGCAAGGAACACCTGGCCCGCCTAGGGCAGAAACCCGCTTAAAGGCATTCTTAAGCCATAAACCATAGCTCGAGAGAGCTGTGCCTTAAGGACATGCTCCTGCCACAGTTAACTAGCCCAACCTATCCCTTTAATTCAGCCCATTCCTTCGTTTCCCATAAGGGATACTTTCAGTTAATTTAATATCTATAGAAACAATGCTAATGACTGGCTTGCTGTTAATAAACACGTGGGTAAATCTCTGTTTGGGTCTCTCAGCTCTGAAGGCTGTGAGACCCCTGATTTCCCACTTCACACCTCTATATTTCTATGTGTGTCTGTCTTTAATTCCTCTAGTGCCGCTGGGTTAGGGTCTCCCTGACCGAGCTGGTCTCGGCAAGTGGCGTTCATTGTGGGGGCTCCAATCCAGGTCAAAGGGTCATCAGAGTGACGGTTGGAGAATGTGGAACTAGCTGGAGGACACCCGAGTACTCTTAAAGCAATCCCTATGGTGAGTAAGAAGGGGATTGAATCTATAAATTACCTTAGGCAGTATGGCCATTTTCATGATATTGATTCTTCCTACCCATGAGCATGGAATATTCTTCCATTTGTTTGTATCCTCTTTTATTTCATTGAGCAGTGATTTGTAGTTCTCCTTGAAGAGGTCTTTCACATCCCTTGTAAGTTGGATTCCTAGGTATTTTATTCTCTTTGAAGCAATTGTGAATGGGAGTTCACTCATGATTTGGCTCTCTGTTTGTCTGTTATTGGTGTATAAGAATGCTTGTGATTTTTGTACATTGATTTTGTATCCTGAGACTTTGCTGAAGTTGCTTAACCACTTGAGCAGATTTTGGGCTGAGATGATGGGGTTTTCTAGATATACAATCATGTCATCTGCAAACAGGGCCAATTTGACTTCCTCTTTTCTTAATTGAATACCCTTTATTTCCTTCTCCTGCCTGATTGCCCTGGCCAGAACTTCCAACACTATGGTACTGGTACCAAAACAGAGATAGAGACCAATAGAACAGAATAGAGCCCTCAGAAATAATGCCGCTTATCTACAACTATCTGGTCTTTGACAAACCTGACAGAAACAAGCAATGGGGAAAGGATTCCCTATTTAATAAATGGTGCTGAGAAAACTGGCTAGCCATATGTAGAAAGCTGAAACTGGATCCCTTCCTTACAACTTATACAAAAATTAATTCAAGATGGATTAAAGACTTAAATGTTAGACCTAAAACCATAAAAACCCTA
Source organism: Homo sapiens (assembly GCF_000001405.40). Lineage (NCBI taxonomy): Eukaryota > Metazoa > Chordata > Mammalia > Primates > Hominidae > Homo > Homo sapiens. The sequence continues at coordinate 53,341,525 of NC_000010.11, read as the reverse complement.
GAAGAAAACCTAGGCAATACCATTCAGGACATAGGCGTGGGCAAGGACTTCATGTCTAAACACCAAAAGCAATGGCAACAAAAGCCAAAATTGACAAATGGGATCTAATTAAACTCAAGAGCTTCTGCACAGCAAAAGAGACTACCATCAGAGTGAACAGGCAACCTACAGAGTGGGAGAAAATTTTTGCAACCTACTCATCTGACAAAGGGCTAATATCCAGAATCTACAATGAACTCAAACAAATTTACAAGAAAAAAACAAACAACCCCATCAACAAGTGGGCGAAGGATATGAACAGACACTTCTCAAAAGAAGACATATATGCAGCCAAAAAACACATGGAAAAAATGTTCATCATCACTGGCCATCAGAGAAATGCAAATCAAAACCACAATGAGATACCATCTCACACCAGTTAGAATGGCAATCATTAAAAAGTCAGGAAACAACAGGTGCTGGAGAGGATGTGGAGAAATAGGAACACTTTTACACTGTTGGTGGGACTGTAAACTAGTTCAACCATTGTGGAAGTCAGTGTGGTGATTGATTCCTCAGGGATCTAGAACTAGAAATACCATTTGACCCAGCCATCCCATTACTGGGTATATACCCAAAGGATTATAAATCATGCTGCTATAAAGACACATGCATACGTATGTTTATTGCGGCACTATTCACAATAGCAAAGACTTGGAACCAACCTAAATGTCCAACAATAGACTGGATTAAGAAAATGTGGCACATATACACCATGGAATACTATGCAGCCATAAAAAATGATGAGTTCATGTCCTTTGTAGGGACATGGATGAAACTGGAAACCATCATTCTCAGCAAACTATCACAAGGACAAAAAACCAAACACCGCATGTTCTCACTCATAGGTGGGAATTGAACAATGAGAACACATGGACACAGGAAGGGGAACATCACACACTGGGGACTGTTGTGGGGTGGGGGGAGGGGGGAGGGATAGCATTAGGAGATATACCTAATGCTAAATGACGAGTTAATGGGTGCAGCACACCAACATGGCACATGTATACATATGTAACAAACCTGCACATTATGCACATGTACACTAAAACTTAAAGTATAATAATAATAAAATAAAATAAAATTAAAAAAAAGAAAGGGAGCTCGGAAGCATCAGAGTAACAATGGGACAAGCGTGGGGTCTGGTTCGTTCCACCTTGGAACTTTTTCACACTGATGATGAGGAGGAAGGAGAGTATAGCGAAGTAACAGAAGAGGTTACACAGCATGTTTATTTACCAGCTAAAGCTAAAGCGGCAAAGGAAGGAGAGGTTCATCCCTACCCTTCTGCACCCCCTCATTATTTTGAAGAAAGAGATCCTCCAGATCTTTCTTTTCCAGAGGATACTCGGCAAAAAGTAGTTGCCGCAGTGACTGTTCGAACAGCGCCTCGAGCGACCGCTCTTAATTCTATTCAGGCAGGAATTCAGCAAGCTAGACGAGAGGGTGATTTAGAGGCTTGGCAGTTCCCTGTTAGAATACACCCCCCAGATCAACAGGGAAATATTATAGCTACATTTGAGCCCTTTCCTTTTAAATTACTCAAAGAATTTAAACAAGCTATTCATACTAAAAAAGAATGTAGAAATAATCAGTGAGTCAGGCTGCCAGATAGGGGAAAAAAGAAAACTGCTCATCTTGAAATATGTCCAAAATTTAAAAAAGAAAAACATTGGGCTAATCAGTGTCACTCTAAGTTTGATAGAGAAGGTAACCCGATTTCGGGAAATGCTATGAGGGGCCCGTCCTGGGCCCCATTCTAAACTGGGGCATTTCCAGCTCAGGCCATTCCCTCACCCCTGTACAATGTCTGTCCCCTGCCACAGCCAGTCGTGTCGCAGTAGGTTTGTGCTGCACAAAAGCTGTGAGCCTTCTGCCTGGGGAACCCCCATGAAAGGTCCCAACAGGAGTCTGCAGACCCTTGCCAGCGGGGACAATAGGATTACTTTTAGGAAGGTCTAGTTTAAGTTTAAAAGGGGTACAAATACATACAGGAGTCATTGATTCAGATTACAATGGGGAAATTCAGATTGTTATATCTACTTCTGTTCCCTGGAAAGCAGAGCCACGAGAGCGCATAGCACAGCTCCTGATTGTGCCGTATGTGGGAATGGGAAAAAGTGAAATTAAATGAACAGGAGGATTTGGAAGCACAAATAAACAAGGCAAAGCAGCTTATTGGGTAAATCAAATTACTGATAAATGTCCTACCTGTGAAATAACTATTCAGAGAAAGAAATTTAAAGGTTTGGTAGATACAGGAGCGGACATTTCAATCATTTCTCTACAGCACTGGCCGTCCATGTGGCCAATTCAACTCGCTCAATTTAACATATTTGGAGTTGGTAAAGCCCCTGAAGTATATCAGAGTAGTTATATTTTGCATTGTGAAGGGCCCAATGGACAACCTGGGACTATTCAACCAATTATGAATTCTGTACCTATAAATTTATGGGGGAGAGATTTATTACAACAATGGGGAGCACAAATTCTAATTCCAGAACAATTATATAGCCCTCAAAGTCAACATATGATGCATGAAATGGGGTATGTCCCTGGTATGGGACTAGAAAAAAAATTGCAAGGTTTGAAATAACCGCTTCAAGCGGAAAAGCAGAGTTCCCGCCAAAGATTAGGAAATAATTTTTGATGGTGGCCGTTAAGCCTCCAGAACGTACACCTTTAAAATTGTTAACAGATAAGACAATTTGGATAGAACAATGGCCGCTAAGTAAAGAGAAACTGGAGGTTTTAGAGAAATTATTGAACAATTAGAAAATGGGCGCATAGCTCCAACATTTTCCCCTTGGAATTCTCCAATTTTCGTAATTAAGAAAAAATCAGGTAAATGGAGAATGTTAACTGACTTAAGAGCTATCAATTCAGTAATACAACCTATGGGAGCATTACTGCCAGGATTGCCTCCTCCTGCTATAATTCAAAAAAATTGGCCTTTAATAGTCATAGATTTAAAAGACTGTTTCTTTACTATCCCTTTAGCTGAGCAAGACTGTGAATGGTTTGCATTTACAATTCCTGTGGTAAACAACCTGCAGCCTGCTAAGTATTTTCATTGTTTTACAGATGGGGCTGGTAATGGTAAAGCTTCTTATTCTGGTTCGAAAAGTAAAGTTTTCCAGATGCCCTATACTTCAGCTCAAAAAGTAGAGCTTGTAGCTGTAATTGAGGTATTGACTGCTTTTGATATGCCTGTTAATGTGATTTCTGATTCTTCATATGTGGTTCACTCCACACAGTTAAATGAAAATGCTTAGTTACGATTTCATACAGGTGAACAACTGATGACTTTATTTACCCAATTGCAAACAGCAGTTAGAAGTAGAATGCACCCTTTTTACATCACTCACATTAGGGCTCATACACCTCTTCCAGGACCTTTGACTGAAAGGAATCAAGTGGCTGATCACCTAGTTGCTAATGCAATATTTAATGCTAGACACTTTCACAATTTAACCCATGTTAATGCCTCTGGTCTCAAACGCAGATACAGCATTACCTGGAAAGAAGCTAAAGCTATTATCCAGTGATGCCCAACTTGCCAAATGGTACATTCCTCATCTTTTATAGGAATTAATCCTCGAGGATTGGAACCTAACTCTGTTTGACAAATGGATGTCACACAAGTTTCCTTCGTTTGGGAGACTAGCTTATGTACATGTATGTGTGGAGACCTTTTCTTACTTTTTCTGGGCTACATGCCAGTCAGGAGAGTCTTCTGCCTGTGTTAAATGTCACCTTCTGCGATGTTTTGCGGTGATGGGTATTCCAGCCTCTATTAAAATAGATAATGCCCCAGGCTATACTGGTCAAACTCTAGCTACATTTTTCTCTACGTGGAATATTAAACACATTACTGGTATCCCATACAATTCTCAAGGACAAGCCATAGTGGAAAGAATGAATCTTTCCCTAAAACAGCAGTTGCAAAAGCAGAAAGGGGGAAATAGAGAATATGGAGCCCCACAGTTGCAACTGAACCTAGCATTATTAACCTTAAATTTTTTGAGGCTGCCCAAAGGCCAGATGTTATCAGCAGCTGAACAGCACCTACAGAAACCAGCTGCAAAGACAGAAGCAGAACAACTGATTTTGTGGGGAGACCTGATAACAAAAAGTTGGGAAATAGGTAAAATAATAACTTAGGGTGGGGTTATGCTTGTATTTCTCCAGGACAAAATCAACAGCAAATTTAGATACCATCAAGACACCTGAAACCTCATCATGAGCCAGATGCCAAGGAAGAGATTCCGGGAGGATCCCAAAGACCCCCTGGTTGCAGCCATGTCAAGGCTGATGCTGAGGAGGACCACAACTGTCACAAGCAACACCTGTTGAACACAGCCACCCACCTGGGGACAGATCAAGAAGCTGTCACAGATGATGGAAGAAAACCTGAGGAAAGCGAGACAACCAGTCACAGTGAGTAATTTAATGGTAGCTATGATAGCGATGATCACCATTGCCATGAGTATTCCTTAAACCAGGGCTGACACAGAGAACAATTATACTTATTGGGCATATTTTTCAATCCTGACTGGTAATAATGCCTGGATATAATCATTCTATGACACAGTTACACATGCTTTCTGATCTCAGTATTTACCATACTAAATCTGCTCCTATAATTGAGGCATACTGCCCTCAAAAACCTATTTGTAAACAAAATAGAACCTGGCCAGAAATAATGAACGCACTTGTTTAGGAAGATTGCATTGCAGAACAGGCAGAGATGCTGCACAACGATTCCTATGGAATCATTATTGATTGGTCCCCTAAGGGGATGTTTAGCTTGAATTGCACCTCTTAGTCTGCGTGCCACGACCACGCTATGTTAAGCTGATCTGAACAAAATGGTCAGATGGTAGATATAATAAGAAGTATGGCAAAAGTTTTTATTATTTGGAACCATGGTGGTATAGTGGCCACCTCAACCTCAAATGATATGGCCCGCTGTAGGAGCTAAACATAAGGATTTGTGGAAACTATTAATAGCTCTTAATAAGATCAAAATTTGGGAAAGAATAACAAAGCATCTAGAAGGACACTCTACAAACTTGTTTTTGTTTATAACAAAATTAAAAGAACAAATATTTAAAGCATCCCAGGCACACCTGATCTTAATGCCAGGAACTGGAGTGCTTGAAGGAGTTTCAGACAAGTTAGCAGCTAGTAACCCATTAAAATGGATAAAAACACTTGGAAGCTCTGTGATTTCAATGATGATTGTGCTTTTAATCTGTATTGTTTGTCTTTGTATAGTCTGCAGATGTGGATCCTGACTCCTGGGAGAAGTAGCTCACCGTGACAAAACTGCCTTTGCTTTTATTGATTTGCAAATCAAAGAAGGGGGACATGTTGGGAACAAGCCCCCCCCCCCCCAAAATCTGGGCATAAACTGGCCCCAAAACTGGCCATAAACAAAATATCTGCAGCACTGTGGCATGTTCACGATGGCCATAATGCCCACGCTGGAAGGTGGTGAGCTTACCAGAATGAGGGCAAGGAACACCTGGCCCGCCCAGGGCGGAAACCCACTTAAAGGCATTCTTAAGCCACTAGCATGAGAGATCTGTGCCTTAAGAACATGCTCCTGCTGCAGTTAACTAGCCCAACCTATTCCTTTAATTTGGCCCATCCCATCGTTTGCCATAAGGGATACTTTTAGTTAATTTAATATCTATAGAAACAATGCTAATGATTGGCTTGCTGTTAATAAACACGTGGGTAAATCTCTGTTCAGGTCTCTCAGCTCTGAAGGCTGTGAGACCCCTGATTTCCCACTTCACACCTCTATATTTCTCTGTGTGTATGTCTTTAATTCCTCTAGCGCCACGGGGTTAGGGTCTCCCCGATCTGTCTGGTCTTGGCATTGGGTAACACTAAGTGAAATGTTAATTCTCCTATGTCTTTTTGAGAGTATTTGTATGCTTTTAAATACAGTTTGAACATCGTATTTCCCTTTATAGAAGGGTTCTTCAAAATCCATTTGAAACTCATGAACCAATGATTGAATAGTGTGAGGCAAGTGATCCACATAAAATATGATATATCTATTAATTCCTAGCTTGGAAAACTTAAAATATTTTATATTTTTAAATTTAAAATATTGTTTAAAATGAAAAGTTTCCACACATGAATGAAACAGAATTTGATTCTTGTACCCTGGTCAGGTTAAGATAGTTATATCTAATTTTGAAATAAAATAAAAACATTATTATAGATTTTTGAATCAAAAAACATGAAAATTGGTATTATTATTATTGGCAAGAGTGATATAAGCACCTACGGATATAGAGTCTACCCATTTTTAAGTTCCTATACCCTCTGATTATTGTTTAGTTTGATTAAATACTAATCTAGAAGTTGTATTGTTTTAAAACCACGGCCAACACAATTTTACTGATTGATATGTTAGATTTTATATCAATTTTTCATATCAATGACTTCATTATTAATGCAAATATTTATTATTATAGATGAATGTGTTTCTCTTTCATTTTTAATTATCAGTCACTGAAGCCTTGAGAAGTAAAATGTTACATAGACACAGTTAAGGATTTTGCATTGCTGAAAATGCTTCTCAGCTTGTGTCCTCAGAAAGTCAATTCATGAACCTTCACTGACTAATATATTGTGTAGAAAAGAGAGCTGTGAGCACAGATGAGGGCAGTCATAGCTTCTAGTTGGAATGCATATTTGATTTGGAACTGTCACCATCCAGGAATGCTAATGACGCTAAAGTGCTTTATAGATTATTTAAAAGGATATATCAGGAAACTTTTTATAATTACCATCACTGTATAGTTTTTAAGAGGACTTACAAATGGAGGCTCAATTTCAGTATGTTGTCTTAATATCATGTCTAATTGCCTAAATTGAGTTAAGCTTTTTAGTTGCTGTCATTATTGTGAATTCCAAAAATGAGCAATGATTACTCAGGGAGATGTATTTATCTCAGGAGAATGAAGACATTTTGTATACTGCTTTTCAAAAGCGCATTCTGCCCAGAACTCATAAATGTACTCAACAAGACTTTTGTAGTTTTGTTTCAGTAAATAAATGTAACTGGAGTCCATTGGCAGAGTAAAAAGGAATCCGCAAGTCCTATTATTACTAGTTTTGTTTCAGTAAATAAATGTAACTGGAGTTTGTTGGCAGAGTAAAAAGGAATCTGAAGGTCCTATTATTATTATTACTTTTTAGTAGACTTCCATGGCTCCCAGAATAAGGCTGCCTCCCCATAATCATCGGGATAAAGATACAAGTTTTCTGCAAACAGCGTGTGCCCATAACCTCCCTCATATCCCCATATGCAGCTTTCCAGGGCTACTTGCATATCTGAAGCTGCCAGGTTATATTACTTCACAAACTTCACTGGTGATGTTCCTTCTGCCTGGGAGAAAATGCCTATTCTTGGTGACATCAAATCTCTCTGTTCCCTAGCTCTTATGAATAATGGCAATTTATATTTATAGTATTTATAGTTCTATAGCCATTTATTCATACTATAATTTATAACACTAAGTCATTTATTCATAGATTTGCCTTTCCTATCTCCAAGTATAAACTTAGTGAAGGCAGGGATATTGCCTTGTTTAGTATTTTTCATCAGCAGCACACATCTCTATGTCTTGACACCTGTCATTTAATAATTGTTTTCTGAAATTTACTTTGCACCTTTTTGAGGATGTGCGCCTTTTAGCACTCACAGTTCTTTCCATCATAGTACTTACACCCGATGGTGACTACTCATTCATTTACTTGTAAACTCCTGTACATCAGGTCCTGATAAAATGGGAGAGATCCCTTATTCCCCTCTCAGGACTTGCGACAGGGGTGAGGCTGGCTCCTTTGGTCGCCCAGCTGCTCAAACTACTAGGGGGAGCATGCAGATGGCCAGGTGCAGAGGCAGTGGGGAGGTTTCTTGGGCTCCAGCCCTATGACAGCTTCTAGGAGTGGATATCTGCCACTCCTGAAGCCCAAGTGGGCATGAGTTACAGTGCACTCTTTCAGTTTTGCCATCTGCAGATGGCTTGTGTTAATCAGCTCAACAGACTCTCTGCCTTATCCCAAGGGAAGATGCCCAGTGTGACAGCTTTCTGTATCTGGAGTTCTTGCCCAGTGTACCCGAAGAATCTCATCACACATGGGCTTGAACGATGAGTGTGAGGTTTTATTGAGTGGTGGAAGTGTCTCTCAGGGAGCTGGATGGGGAGCTGGAAAGTGGGATGGAGTGGAAAGGTGGTCTTCCCATGGAGTGGAGCCACCCAGCAACTGGACTCTCCTCTGACTGCCCCTGGCTGAACTCCCCTTGGCATCTGTGTCATTCTGCTGTCACTGGTCTGCTGGTCTGTTGGTGTGTGCTGGTGTCTGCTGGTCTGTTCCTCTGTTCCTCTCAATGTTCAGCCACTTGTGTCTGTGTCCACTAAGATTTTGGGTTTATATGGAGGCAGAATGCGGGGGGATGTGGTTGGCCAAAAGGCAACTTTTGGGGCACAAAAACAGAAATACCTGTCCTCACTTAGGGGCATGGGTCTTCAGGCTTGAGGGTGGGGCCTTTGCCGGGGAACTTCCCTCCTCTACCCAGTGTTTCCCTGTCTCCTGTATGTATCACTGAGACTTAGTCTATTTATATACTGGATACTTTGCCCTGTGCTTATATATAGCAGATACTCTGATTATATTTGTTTTAAATTAGTAGAGCTATTATTTTTTTAAAAATATATCACTATTGTTAAGGCTATTGAGAAACTGTTCTTTTCACTCTCCCCATAAACTGACATAGAACAAATTTTAATTGGGAATGTTTTAACAAACGTCATACAAGCAGCAAGTCACCAGTAGATTGTCCTTAGTCTGTGGTCTTATTTTTAAAGCAGAATAAGACTGTTAGGTAGGTAGTTAATTTTTAAAATTTCCTTAATACTGGACAGTAGTTTACACTCTGGTAAGTATGGGGAATTATATGCAGTGCTGTTTATGCCACGTTGACAATTATCAAAAACAGTAAATGCCTTATCATCAGGGCTTGATAATGTAAAGAAATGTGAGAAACAGTCAAGGCCAGATTCAAAGATTGAGAGTTCTGATAGATAGCTTAGGGAAGAGTTATGTAACGATGGAAACCACAGCTGTGTGATAGAATATAAAGCCACAAATGTATTATACACTTTTAGAAAATTAACTTCAATAATATGTTTTAATCCAATGTTCAAAATATTATAATTTATCATTTTAATCTATATACACATTTTAAATGATATACTGTGTTTTTTATATTATTAATTTTAACGTGGTATTTGTTTTACACTTACAGCATGTCTTGAAACATGCAATTTTCAATTGAGATCAAACACTTGATTTGTATTTAGATTTTATAAAATTTATATTTTAAGAAGTAGATTCACATGCCCACATTATTTCAAATATAAATTAAAATTTGCCAGATTGAACTACTTTTTATTTAATTAAAATTAAATAAAATTAAGTATATGTTTCTAAGATGCACTAGCCACATTTCAAGTGCTTAATAGCTACATGTAGCTAGTGTCTACCATATTAGACAATGTGCCTCTAAACCGTAAAAAGAATGAGGTGTCTCAAACAGTGCATAGAGGATCTAGAGAATTAACTAAAATGCAGGCTGAGATGATCCAAGCCACAGTTTTCTTCACATTCATATCTGTCCTAATGTGTAGGTTTCCACATCTACTTGATGTTACTTTTTGGCTATTGATGTGATGCTTCTCTGTCAACTGTCACCCCTATCTTAGAATTTAATGAGCTGATAAATGCTTCTACCCATCTGGTTTCAATTTAAAGCAAAATCAAAAACAATTGTGACAATATAACATCCATTGAGCCTTTTTTTTTTTTTTCCTGTGAAGAGACTGGTATAGATTCTATGGTCTATACAAAGATCAGGAGAGCAGATGGTTGATGGCTTTAAATAGAGCCTGACTAGTAGTACCCTCCAGGAAGGTCAATCATGCTCTTCTCTATTCTCCATTATCTCTGATAAGTATTTTTAACCTGAGTGGGTTAGCCATGTAATTGCATTTCTATTGCTTTCCTCTTAGGCTTCAAAAATGAAGCTGAAATAGAACTAAAACCCCACAGATATCGTAACAATTGAATGTCAATCCAGAGACCACTCTTCATTCTCCAGTAGTCTCTTTAATGTACCTTGATGGTGAAATAGCATTTAAAAGGCAGTAATTAGCCCAGTATTCAGTTAAGTAAATCAATTTAAATTATGAATATTTTATAAAATACTAGGCTGGAACAATCCTGGAAACATGAAAGTTATGGACCTAACAAAGAACAAGAATCTACTTTCTAAATATGAAAGTAAAGCATAAATTATTGTTATATATCTGTTTGGAAAGGGTGAACATTTGATACCAGCAATTATAATTATCCCTATAAAGAAAGTTGGGACACTTAGTCTTTAAAAGAAATTTTATGATTTTACCAAAAACTTGCAAAAAAATTCCATAATTTATATAAAAGAGGCTAATAGTTTAAATATATTAATTAATTTTTAAAAAACTATTTGCCCCCAGTAAATTGTCTTTCCTTTCTGTGAATTCTCACAGCATTTTCCATCAAAATAAACACATTTTACCAAGAGTTTATACTGCCATTTTTTTGTAAATTTCTATATATAAGTACCTTATTTTTCTAATAATAATACCATCTTCTGAAAGTACAGTTCCTGACTTTTTTTCTTTTTAGGCACAATATAATTAATCATTTTTACATAGCAATGAGTCATTCACTTAGATTTTATCTCTATGGAGTATATGACATAAAATATTTTATCTTGTTTATGTTTAAGTGAATTTATACTTAAACTGAGGAATTATGAGTGAATATGATATTTGAAAAAAATCCAATTTCCATGTCCCTAAAGACGTCTGTCAAGATTAACATTTATTTCTAATAATTATGTAAACAGTAACACAGTGAAGTTAAAATTTTCTTTAGAAGGTATGATTAAAGAATCTTCACAGTAAACATAGTATGTTGATACAGTAATCCGAGTAGTAAAAGATCTAAGTTATTTAGTGTTTAAGGAGCCAAAATATATCCCTGAGGGGGATTTGTTAATTAGTGTATTCCAGACAACAAGACCGCCAGTTTCCCCAGAGCTTAGGAAGTCTGAAAGAACTCATTTGATAACTGGGCAGAGAATGCAAATGAAGCTCTTCTCACGCTTGTAATCCCAGCACTTTGGGAGGCCGAGGTGGGCAGATCGTGAGGTCAGGAGATGGAGACCATCTGGCCAATAGGGTGAAACTCTGTCTCTACTAAAATACCAAAAATTAGCTGGGCGTGGTGGCACGTGCCTGTAGTCCCAGCTACTCGGGAGGCTGAGGCAGGGGAATAGCTTGAACCCGGGAGGCGGAGGTTGTAGTGAGCCGAGATTGTGCCACTGCACTCCAGCCTGGTGACAAGAGCAAAACTGCATCTCAAAAAATGAAATAAAATAAATAATAAAGTTTAAATGTCCAAATATTTACAAATGAACTATCATGTTGTTACTATAATTTATCTAGCTGTTTTAGAGTATTAATGCCATGCCTGCTGTATTTATTGTATACAGCTTTCTAAGGCCCTGATAGGAACTGGTAATCCATGTTGGTATATTAAAATGTAATAGCTTGGGTGGACACAAGAATTAGTGTTAAAATTTCTAAAATGGCTGAAAAACATTCTTTGATGCTATTTGTCATTAATGTAGAAAGAACATACTGAACTAGAGAAAAGAGGTATCTCATCTCTTCTCCTATACATTGTGAAGAAGGGATTCCTATAACATATATAATAAGTATAGTGTAAATTTACTACTTTAAAATGAACTCAGTAATAACACTGAATCTCTGTAAATTGCGTTAACCTTATTCAAAAAGTAAAATTCTCCATGATATAATTGTCTTCATCTCCAACCTCAGGTCTTGGCAGCCAGCAATAAAGAGAGCCAAGAGATGTCTGTGAGGTGGTAGAAACCTGAAGGATGGCTATCTTCAGTGAAGGAAAGTAGAGTTTATTTCTCTCTCAGTAGACCAAGCAAAAGCTCTAAAATATGGTTTCATTATAAAATAGAGAGATAGGCAGCTTCACAGTTTGTAGGGTTCTCAAAGTAAGTGGTAGCAAGAAGAATTCTGTGCATGTGAGTCAGATAAGCTTTTCTGCTTGATTCCAATATAAAGTAAATGCTTTCTGTGAAAGCTAGCTTTGAGAAATAAGAGAGCTACTTAATCCAGTAATTATATGTTTAGGGCAGAGCTGGAAAGTCATAGAAATGAGCCCAAGAGTAAATTGCTGAATATTCTGGAGAATAAAAATAAGATGGGGGAGTTGGTGTGTGTGTGTGTCTGCCCTGCCAGACTGTATAACCATGAAGTGTAAATTGTTCAAGTTTCATGAACACACAAAACTGAATTTGATTATTAACTTTTATTATCAACTTTACAATATACTTCCTTCACTGTGGATATATTTTGTAATATAGTAAGTCCTCAATTAAGGTCATCAATAGGTTCTTGGTAACTGTGACTTCAAGGGAAATAAATAAAAAAGCTAATTTTTTAGAAAATGACTTCATTTGAGGATCTGCTATACATCATTTTACTTAAAGTCACAGTTTCCAAAAACCTATCAACAATGTTGAGGACTTAATATGTTAATTTTTATTTAGGTGTTTGATAAAAGTTAGTAGAATATTTTCTTATGTCAAATTGAGATATTCCCATGAGTGCTTGGGATAGAATTAGGTCAAGTGTTAAGGAAACAAGAAGATGATGAACTAAGCAAATACATGTGACAAATATATTATACATGGAATGTTAGAGTTAAACAGAACCTTAAGAAACTGAATTTAAATTTAATCGTTCTTAAGTTGTGGGAACTAAGGCCTAGAGGTTGAGTTATGATCAGAGTCAGATATTCCCAACTTCCAATATACTACTTCCAATTAAGCAAATCTCCACAAGACTGTTATCTGTATCAGAATTTATAGGCAGCAGTTGTGAAATATATCATGACTTTTCTACTCACTGATTGCCCTGAAGCTCATGAGGAGAGATGGCAATTCCAAATATGTGCAGAGATAAAAGTAGGAGAGAGACCTGAAATAAACCAGGTGGGGGTAGGGGGGCTTGGCCCCGTGTATTAGGATTTGGCATAGACGGAAAGATTTGTGCTCAGGACTTTCCATGTTGCTCATGTATGCAAAAATTTATAAACTGAAATGGCTTGAATGAAGAGTTGGAAGAGAAATACATGTCACATCATAGGCTCAAATCACCAAAAGAGAAAGGCAAAAAAAAAAAAAAAAGAAAGAAAGAAAAAAAAGATAAACATCACCTGTAGAATGAGTTTACCATCTCCAAACAATTAGGCTCTTTTTCCAGAAACTTGGAATTAGGACTAAGCAATTTTAGTCTCAGTCTAGTTTGCCTCATGAACAGAAGAAATGTGAATTTAGAAAGTACAGTCAACCCTTTTGTGCTATTAGGCAGATCTTTTAAATTACTGGGTTGGCAAGCAGAAAAATCCAGCATTTAGTGGCAGAGAAATGATAAAGATTAACAAGAAAGGAGGAGGAGGAGGAGGAGGAGGAGGAGGAGCTCAAAAAGAGAGAGAGAAAGGGAGAAGGAGAGGGAGGAAAAAAGAAGATGGAAAAGGATAGAGCGAGAGATAAATAATTATGATTTAACACCACTGTACACATGAGAGATAATGTATAGCTTTCAAGAATATGTAAGTTCAGAATTAAAAAAAAACTTGGTTCAAATATCAGGCACTATTACTTACCTGTTCTGACATCTTGAACAAGTGAAATAACACCAGAAATTCCTAGAATTCCAAATAATCCTGGCATTCCAAATAATAGATCTATTACAAAGTAGGGACATATGTCACATATAACTTTTACTATATTCCTGACATGCAGTTAATACTAAATAAATGTTAATATAAAAACAAAAATGAAAGGCCAGTGTCATGAGGAGTTAGGCAGACCAAATCAGACCCATGTAAGGAAACAGTCATCAGCAAGAGGAGGGAGAAAGAAAGTCAACAGCACTGGACATCTTGAGAAGAACTGCAAAGAGAAGGAAATATTAGAGTACAATTTTAGTTTATTCAGAGCTTTGTTCAGAATAACCTACTTTCTGTAGTTTTCTGAAAACATGATTGTCCTTTTAAAATAGCTAAGTTTGACATTCAACAGAATTACTTCATCTTTATTTCACCTCTTTCTGCTCACAATTTACCCAAATACTGTGCTCATACCACACTATTTAATGATTTGGTAGTTTTCTTTCCTAGCATTCAACCGAGTAAGAGGTTGGTCTCAATTCGAGTTTCATTTTCTACTTCCTTGCTGAGTAAAATAGAAAAAAATAATCAGGAGTTAGCATCACTGTACACATGAGCAGTTGTGATCAGATTAGACTTAATTGCCCATATATTCTTATTTCTCCATCTTTACCCAATTTACCCAAATACTGTGCTCATACCACACTATTTAATGATTTGGTAGTTTTCTTTCCTAGCATTCAACCGAGTAAGAGGTTGGTCTCAATTCGAGTTTCATTTTCTACTTCCTTGCTGAGTAAAATAGAAAAAAATAATCAGGAGTTAGCATCACTGTACACATGAGCAGTTGTGATCAGATTAGACTTAATTGCCCATATATTCTTATTTCTCCATCTTTCACTCTCAGCAATATTTAAAGATTAAAAAAGCAGAAAACTGTGTCAACAAAAATGACTCCTGACACGGATAGTAATAAATGAATTTGAACTTGAAGAAATTGCAGAAGCAACTTTGGTTAGGAAGCTAAGTTGTGTGTGTGTGTGTGTGTGTGTGTGCGCGCGTGCGTGTGTGTGTGTGTGTGCGTGTATCTAAACATTTTATAAGAGAAGTGGCTTGCTTGTAGAAGATACATGCTGGCAGCAGAAATCTCCTCTCCAGACTCTAAAATTTATTTGATGTTAGTTGCATGTTGCCACCTAAAGTACACTTTTATAATAAGGAACTTCCTGGCAACTCCTGGTAACTGTTAGAAACTACCCCACTTCTGTGTGACCCTTCCCAGATTTTGAACAATATTGATTTTTGTTTTGAAAAAAAGTATGATATAGATACTGTTCAAAGATAATCCTTCTCTGCATATGGTTGGCCTGAATTTCTCATTCAGGAGCTGAGATAATTAGTAGCGATATTCTCACTTGTTTAGTATACTAAAGTATATAACTTTTAAGCTATACAATCATTTGTTAAATAACTGTATATCTTGTCCAATGGCTCATGGCATCTTGGAGGTAAAATGGAGGCTAAGTTGGATCAATGTGGTCAGGGAGTGAAGTGGTAGTTGGAAGCTATTTCCCCCACTGCTGATAGCACTGTAGTCCCAATATCATTATTTCATCAGTCCATTGTCAGGATTTGTCTTATTATCTTGTCTCACATAAAATTAAGTTCTGTTTCTTACTATGATTCTAAAGATAATTACCTGATCGCCTTACCTTTATATTCTGGGTTTTCCTCAGATATCTAGTAATGTAATGGGAAGTAACTAAAGGGCTTGTTAATGTTAAAAAAAAAAAAAAAAAAAAAAAAAAAGCTTGATTTTATGGGATTGTTGTAGTTGTAACTCGTTTCTCACATTTGCAGTTTTGTGTGTTTCCTTATTTCCTGACATTCTCTTTTGCATTAATTCTGCTGCCATTGTATTTTCTACTTTCTAAGAGCTGGCCCCATTATTATTCCATGTTTTACCCAAGAGTGTCAGCTTTCATATATGTATTATTTCATTCAGGACAGGCTCATATAATGGAGCCTCTTTTTGTTATTGCTCCACATTAAGAAAAGTAACAATAAAAAAGTTACTTTGTTATATATGAGTATTAAATAAGAAAGTTTTCAAAATTTCTCTGAATTTAATTTTTATCATTTGATTTCAAAACAAGAGCTAGTACAAATATTATTGTTACGATCTCTTCCCTCAAACACCCTGAGTTCAAATTCTAACTCCTCATGCTGAGATCTGTGACTTTGGGAGAAATCCCTACATTTTATGAATATTTCATAGCACTGATTTTAAGTTGTGGCATTACAGATTTCTGAAACAAATCTATATGTGATTCAGAATTTAAAAGGAGAATGACTCACTCATGACTGGGAGTTGAACAATGAGAACACATGGACACAGGGAGGGGAACATCACACACTGTGGCCTGTTGCAGGGTGGGGGGAAAGGGAAGGGAGAGCATTAGGACAAATACCTAATGCATGTGGGGCTTAAAACCTAGACGACAGATCGGTAAGTGCAGCAAACCACCATGGCACATGTCACACCTACGTGACAAACCTGCACGTTCTGCACATGTATCCCAGAACCTAAAGTAAAATAAAATAAATTAAATTATATTAAAAAGGAGAACGAATGAGGAGGAGTTTATATATGCCAATTAAACCATGACATGTGTTTTCTTATTACTTGAAACTTTTATTCTGAAAGTACTTAAGGGGATCTTTT